>NC_000001.11:235578060-235729576 GCF_000001405.40 Homo sapiens | reverse complement strand
ATTTTGCACATATTCACCCTGCCTTATTTGATTCTTAGATTATTTAAAGTGTTTTTTGACAGCATGCCATTAAATTGGATAAACTTTCTGTAGTATCATATAGGCTAATTTGCCTTAACATTATATGTAATTGCATATGAGTCATGAATGTGAAGAAATGATATCTTGTGTTCTGAAAAGCACATGAATAGCATTTTAGTTTTTATAAAATTGTTTCTTCATGATATGCAAATTTATATTTAACCATTTCTTTTATTATATGCCAATTTAGATTTTTTAAAGTGAAAAATTGTTGATATCTTACCTACTATTTTATCAGATATAACTGTCCATAAGAAATATGTCTATTTTAAGATTGTCCATAATTTATATTCTCTATTGTGCTTCTGAGAGAAAGGACAAGATTGTTAGTCCATAGATACCTATATAGTTATATTTGTTTGAAAATTTTATTCTCAAAATATGAAGGAAAACAATTATACCACTTGATCTCTATTCCCTTAAAGAATCAATCTGTATGCTGTAGGCTAGGTTCTCCAAGTGTGAGAACCCTGAATTAGTAGCATCAGCATCTCATGGGAGCTTCTTAGAATTGCACATTCTCACGCCTCAGTCCAGACTTGATGAATCTGAAATTCTGAGGGTGGGGCCCAGCAGTCTATGTTCTGATGAGCCCTCCAGTGATTTGATGTACCTTCAAATTCGAGAATGAATGTTGTAAGCTATAGCCTCCAAGGTCCAAGATATGGAGCTTCAAGCCTGCTGGGACTGAGCCCCACCGTCACAAGGATGGAGATAGTACCCTTCTCTGAGCTAGCCATGCCACTACTTCACTACTTCACTACTTCACTACTCGAGGGTGATGAGCATGCAGGGGGCGGAACCTCAGAGAAGTTCCCAACATTTTAAAACACGATGTAGGGACATGGGTTAGCAACAGCCAGCCTATGAAACAGGAAAAAGTTGGAGGCTATGTTTAGGGCCTACTCTACCCTATTGAGTGTCTCAGTCTGCAAAATAATTAAGGATTTCCCTTTGGCTAGATAATTTGGTTTACCACTTGACTTCAATTAGTGTGGAACAAAATAAAGCAAATCTATATGCTAGTAATGTAAGAATAATGGTAATAATAAATAGCCAACATTTATTTAGCACTGAGCACATATGCATTTTGCATATATTCTAATTTAATTTCCATAGTAGCTCTGTGAAATAGAGCTCCCTGCAACCTTTTTTTTTAATAAAGAAATTAAGACACAAAGAGGTAAAGCAACTTGCCCAAGACTTCATGGATACTATTCAAAAATATTTATTGAGTGCCAGGAACTGTGTCGAGGTAGTGAGATTCAAATTCAGACCAAAGGACTCCAGAGACCATGCATTAAACCATGAATGGTAGTGTGCACATACATTTTAAAACCCTTATATCCAATTACTTTCTGCAGGTAAATGTGGAATGTATTTTGTGGAAGATAATGCTTCTGATACAGTTGAAAGTTCGGTGAGTAGAGGCTTAAGTCTGTATTTACATAAATCTAGACAGATTCCAAAAATGTATCAATTCAGTATAACTAGAGAGAAGGAAGAACTATTAGAGTTCATTCTTTGTCACTCTATGTATAGATTGGTCTGAGTTCCAAACATTTTTTTAAATATAATTTTAAAAAGAAGACTGTACCATCTCCTCTGGCTTATGGCCCAAGTATCATAGCAGTTAATATAAGTCATATTCTAAATGCTCCTATTATATCAATTTATGTTCATTCCTTCTTATTACTGTCCTCCGTTGCAACAAATATCTATTCCTTGCCACTCCCAGTTCACTATCAAGTACCTTTGCCTTCAGAAAGAAAGGAAAAATATTAAATAATTGAATAACTTAAGTAATTCTGATATTCACATAGCTTAATAATGATAATTGTTATTATTCTAGACAGACTGATATTAATCAGAAAATAGACATATTTTTTGTATAATAAAGCTTTTTATTTGAATTATCTTTTATGCCATTAAAATATTTTTTGAGATTCCTGTAATAGGAGAAATAAGCTTTTTGTTTCAGAAAAGTTCTAAAGCCGGGAATTCCTAAGGATATACTAAATGAGATTATGTGTGGTTTAATTACTAATATATATTTTATTTTAAATAAATTAGGCTGGGTGCAGTGGCTCACGCCTGTAATCCCAGCACTTTGGGAAGCTGAGGTGAGTGGATCACCTGAGGTCAGGAGTTTGAGACCAGCCTGGCCAACATGGTGAAACCCTATCTCTACTAAAAATACAAAAAAATTAGCCAGTTGTGGTGGTGGCGCCTATAATCCCAGCTACTCGGGAGGCTGAGGCAGGCGAATCGCTTGAACCCAGGAGGCGGAGGTTACAGTGAGCCGAGATCACACCACTGCACTCCAGCCTGGGCAACAGAGCGAGACTCTGTCTCAAAAAAAAAAAAAAAAGAAAGAAAGAAAGTAGTGAGTGAAAACATGAAGTTTGGTTATAAAATAAATGTAAAAAAAAAGTCATGAAAGTATTTAAAGTAGTCAGAAATATGAACAGCATTCTTTTCTCATTTATATAGCAATTACCACAGGGTATGTCCCAGATAGTAAAATATAGTTATGTTATTTTTCAAGATGGATCCTTTTATCAGCCAAGGAATTTAATAGTTGATGTATGAGACAACTTTTTTGTATGTCCAAAAGATGACAGTTTTTCCCCTTAAAAATTCTACTCAATTTGTGTTTAACTCCATTTGACATGAGGTGACAGAAGAGTCTGAGTCCATCTGTCGAATATGTTGGTTTATTTTCAGTGCTTGAGGATACATTCACAAATACTTGGTCTGGGAAGACACCATTTAATTTTAAGTCAACTTGCATGCTATAAATGTGTTTTATATTTAAATAAAGAGGAAAATTTTTTTTTCAAATCTAAAAATGCCCTTGCTTCTCAATAGATTGAAAGATCCTTCTTTCCTATGTACTTTTGTAATGTTGGTTCTTCTTATATAACATTTGGTATCTTGCGTTGTGTGTGCAAATGTGTGTACAAATATTTCATGCCCCCTTTTTGACCCATACAGATGTATTTCATGCAGAGCACTTAGCAGAGTACCTTGCGCATAGATGTTAATTAATATATGTTGAATGAATGTTGAAACTAAACAAAGGAAGAATTCAGTTTTAAGTATGAAAATATTACATTTTCATTAAGACATTTTATTTTATTCATAATATATTCCCTGCCTCTACTTATAAAAATTATTTTGGACCAAGAACAATAGTAAAACACACATAGAGTAGGATAATCTGAATCTAAAAAAAAAAATTAAGGTTTTGGAAAGATAAAGAGCCTAGGATAAAATAGTTCTTGGCAATTGAGTCCTAAATTTGCTCTGAGCTTCCTGTTAGTCAACACAGAAGAGTAAGTAAATGCAATTTTTTTAAAAGGAAAAAAACTGATTTAAAAAAGAAAACTAGGATGCAGGTTGATTTGAGGAGATAAATTCTAGCTAGTTTTAAACTTTAGTAGAAACTTTTCATTATTTCTCTATTAAAAGCATTAAGTAGCATAATTTATGTATTCAGTTACAATTTACAAAAGATTAAGATGCATTTTTTTTAAGTTTTTCTTGATTTTGTACTTTGGGAGGGACCTAGTGATGGTAGGATGTGTAGGCCCTGTGGTCCCTACCTCTTCATTTCAGAATGTGGGGATTTGTCTGAGTACACTAGGATTAATACTCTCAAGCAGATTCAACCTTCCAGTGATTCTTTTCTCATCTTCTTTTCTTCTGTTGACCACCTAGCAGGGGAATGTATCTATTTGGTATGTGTTGATCTGTCAGCTTACATTTAGTGAGTGGGGCTTTATTTGCAGGAATGCCCCATTAGTTCCAGGAATGCTCCTCCAGAGACTCTGCTTTCCCTTTGCTGAATGACTCGGAAGCATGAGAACTGTTTCACAGCTCGGGCGTTTCCAGGCCATCCAGACATGGATTTAACCTAAATCTATATGATGGCAGGCCCACAGTTATGAATTCTCAGAGAGAGGCTTTTTTTCTATGCTCTAGGCTCCAGGCCAAAAGAGACAAGCTTGCTTCCTGGTTAATCCTCTTTATTTTTATTTTGTTATTTTTTATTTTTTTAAGACAGAGTCTCACTCTGTCACTGAGGCTGGAGTGCAGTGGCGTGATCTCGGCTCACCAAAACCTCCGCCTCCTGGGTTCAGGTGATTCTCCTGCCTCAGCCTCCCGAGTAGCTGGAACTACAGGTGCCTGCCATCACTCCCGACTAATTTTTGTATTTTTAGTAGAGATGGGGTTTCACCATGTTGGCCAAGCTGGTCTTGAACTCCTGACCTCAAGTGATCTGCCTGCCTCCGCCTCCCAAAGTGCTGGGATTACAGGCATGAGCCACCGCACCCGGCCTATTCCCCTTTATTGATGGGCACATTTGTTTGTCTAATCTTTCATTAGGAACAAATCCCTTCCTAGGTTTTAGCTTTCTGAAGCAATCTCAATTCCATACCCTGATTCTAGGGGCCCAGGGCCTCATCTTCTGTCCTCAAGTTGCTGTGAACCTACGTCAATTTGTTTCTGAAACTGGGGTATGTGCATACATGCATGCATATGCAGACACATACAACAGAGCAACCAGAGTATCACTCCCTGCTTAGTGCTGATTTTCCAGTTCCTCTACATTTTTGACTTCTGGGGATGTCATTTCCCTTGTTTTCTTGCAAGCTCAGCTATGTATTTAAAAGGATATTTGCTTAGTAAAAGAAGCCAACCTTAAAAGGCTATATACTGTATAATTCGAACTATATGACATTTTGGAAAAGGCAAAACTATAGAGACAGTAAACAAATTAGTGGTTGCCAGAGATTGGGGAGAGGAAAGGAGGGATGAGTAGGTGGAGTACCGAGGGTTTTTGGGGCAATAAAACTATTTGGTGGATACATGTCATTATACATTTGTCAAAACCCATGGAATGTACAACACAAAGAGTGAATATAAACTCTGGACTTTAGGTAAGAAAAATTGTAGCAATATTGGTTCATCAATTGTAATTAGTGTCCCACACCAAATGCAAGATTTAATAATAGAGAAACTGTGAGTGCAGGGCCAAGGGAGGGGAGGATACGTGAGAATTCTGTATTATCTGCTCAATTTTCTGTAAACCTAAAACTAGTCTAAAAAATAAAGCCTATTTTTTTTATTTCTAAATTTTATCATTCATTTTGAGGTGTTTTGCATTGGGAGAGTTTTCAGGTAATCTTATCTGCCATCTGCCACAAAAAGATTTTCTGTTTTATTTTGATGCTTTTTAAAATCTAAAATTAAAGTAATTATTTATATTTCCGGTAAAACAAATATTTTTGCCTATTTCTTTGTCTTAGAGCCTTCAGGGAGAGTTGGAACCAGCATCATTTTCCTGGACATATGAAGAAATTAAAGAAGTTCACAAGCGTTGGTGGCAATTGAGAGATAATGCTGTAGAAATCTTTCTAACAAATGGCAGAACACTCCTGTTGGCATTTGATAACACCAAGGTAAATTCACCCTTATTAATTGATATATATTGTTTAAGTGCTCATGGGCCACTGTAACTATACTCATACTGATTACATGAAGGTTTACTGAAATCGAATAAAATTGCCATGTTTCTTAGTCCTGATTAAAGTGAAGCCTTTGTTATATGAGGATTGTCTTTGACCTCCACAGTGAGGTAAATTCTGATTCCCCAAAATGACTGAAAGGAGTAATTTAAACTTGCTCAGTGCTGTAGCAGGGTCCATCTTTGACAAACTCTCTTGACCTCTAATCCCTTCGGCCACCATTTCTCTGCTCTCCTTTATGGAAAAACTGTTGGGGAAAGTTGCATATGCTTGCTGCCTCCAGTTTTCTTTTGAAATGCTTCAGACAGACTTCTCACCACTCTCGTCAGGGTCATCGGTAACCTCTATGTTGCTAAACCCGTAATGTCATAATCTTTCTTTGTCCCCATTTTACTTGACCTATTGGCAGCATTTGACCCAGCTGATTTTTCTCTCCTTAAATAAAACCTTCCTCCCTGGGCTTCTGGGTTACCATTTTCTCTTAGTTCTTATACCTTACCAGCCATTGCTTCTCAGTCTTGGTTGCAGACGCCTCCTTGGTGTGTTGCAGGGCTCCTTCCTCAGACCTCTTCTCTTCTCATCCAGTCTTATGACTTTAAAATACCATCTGTATTCTAACAACTTACACATTTATGTCACTACCCAAACCTCTCCCCTGAATGCCACACTCACATATTGTAACTCCCGACTGATGTCTCCATTTAGAAGTCACTAATTGACATCTCAAACGTAACCTGTACAAAACTGAACTTCTAATCTTCCCCCCATAATTTCCTTCCAGTTTTCTCTATCTCAGTAAATGACAACTCCATCTTTCCAATGCCCAGGCCAAAACTCTTGAGATTATCCAAGACTCTTGTTCTTCTCTCATACCCTGCATACACTCTATTAATAGGTTCTGTTGGCTCTGTCCTCAGAATACATCGAGAGTCTGACTGCTTCCACTGCTACCATCCTGGTTTAAGCCACTATCATTTCTTGCCAGAATCATTTACAGTAGCCTCCTAACTGGCCTTCCTGCATCCATACTGTTTCTGAAATCAAATAAAAATTGCCATATTTCTTAGTCCTAATTAAAGGAAAGCCTTGGTTATATGATGATTATTTTTGACCTCCAAAATTGTGTTAAATTCTGATTCCCCAAAATGACTGAAACGAAGTAGTTTAAACTTGCTCAGGGCCGGGCACAGTGGCTCATGCCTGTAATCCCAGCATTTTGGGAGGCCGAGGCGGGCAGATCATGAGGTCAGGAGTTCAAGACCAGCCTGGCCAACATGGTGAAACCCCGTCTCTACTAAAAATACAAAAATTAGCGGGGCATGGTGGCACATGCCTGTAGTCCCAGCTACTTGGGAGGCTGAGGCAGGAGAATCACTTGAACCTGGGAAGCAGAGGTTGCAGCGAGCCAAGATCACGCCATTACACTCCAGCCTGGGCAACAGAGTGAGACTCCATCTAAAACAAAACAAAACAAAACAAAAAACTTGCTCAGTGCTGTAGTGACTTTCAGCTACAATGACTTTGACAAACCCTTTCTTGACCTCCAGTCCCTTCACTACCATTTCTCTGCTCTCCTCTATAGAAAGCCCCTTAGCCCCCCTTCAGATTATTCTCAACACAGCAGCTAAAGTATGTTGGATCATATCTTTTCTCTGCTCAGAATCCTTCAATCACTTTCATGTCACATTCAGTTAAAGGCAAAGTCCTTCCAATAACCTGATAAAGCCCTGGATAATCTCGTACCTTGTTACCTCTCTGACGTCATTGTCTGCTGTTCTCTCCCTCGCTCTGTCTACTCCATCCATGCCTTGAATGTCAGGCACACCAGTGCCTCGGGGACTTTGCATTCATTGTTGCCTGGAATGTTTTTCTCCTTAGAAATCCTAATGATTTGCTTTGTCACTTTTTCAAGTTTCCTGATCAAATATCTTCTTATCAGAGAGGCCCTCCCTGACTCTATAAAGTAGCCACCCCTCCCTCTCCACCAAGCACCCCTTACCTCCTTTACTTTGGTCTGTTTTTCTCTATAGGATGTATTAGCATCCAGCATTTTCTGCCTCTCCCCAGTAGAATGCCAAGTCTTTACTTTGTTAAGTTCCAGTTCTTCAGAATTTTGAACACTACTGGTATGTAGGTATTCAGTTCATATTTGTTGAATAAATGAATGCCTCCTTTTCCTTCCAGGGCTTGGCTTATAGTCTGTCATAAATCCCCTTCCGTGGACCTTAGCGCTAACAATTGGCAAACTTCAGATTTAGGCTACAGGTTTAGGATGTTCTATTCTCTGTGGTTTTGCCTATTCCACAACTACCAGTACATTTCCTCATTAAGTTCACTCTCTCATTATCCATATCTGTGGCTCTTCTTCCTGTGTCTGAAGCATATACCTGCTTAGAATGGGTATTTCATATCTGTTTTTAGCAAAGCTCGTCTTGTCTGTTTTTTTCATTTATTAGCAATCATTATTTAATTGCTTTAAAAGAACCAATACCCCTTTTCTGTGACAAAACTATTGTGAATCTCTAAAAAAGAGTTTATATATGTTTTCAATCAGTAGTGAAAATCAAATATCCTATTTACATAGGATACTTTATTTAATTCTTATGAGAGAAATATTATCACTCCCATATTATAGACATGGTAACTGTAGCACAGAAGGTTAGCAGGAAAATATACCAGATCTGTCCAATTCAGAAGACCGTGCTGTTTCTACTACACCATATTGCATTTATTTAGAAGAAAACTCTTCTTTTTTCCTTATTTTTTTTTCTTTTAGTATCTGTGTCTTAAGTGACTTTTCTATACAAACTTTTTCTTAGAAGGTTTTTATTAACATATTTCTGCAGCAGTAAAGCATAGTGGTGAAGAGCCCAGCCTCTGGAGGACAACCTGGACTTGAATCTCAGTTCTCTACCCATTAATGTTACTGAGAAAAAAATCTTTTTTTGGAGGACATGAGATTTGTAACATGTCTATAATGTCATGGGTTCTTTGGAGAAAAGTGCCAATAAGACTAAAAATAATATCTGGGTTTTTTTCTTCTCCTTCCCTTTTAGGTTCGTGATGATGTATACCACAATATACTCACAAATAACCTCCCTAATCTTCTGGAATATGGTAACATCACCGCTCTGACAAATTTATGGTATACTGGGCAAATTACTAATTTTGAATATTTGACTCACTTAAACAAACATGCTGGCCGATCCTTCAATGATCTCATGCAGTATCCTGTGTTCCCATTTATACTTGCTGACTACGTTAGTGAGACACTTGACCTCAATGATCTGTTGATATACAGGTAAGTTAAAAGAATCATCACCTTTAGGGTTCATCCATCCATATGTTGTATTTCTTTATTAAAGTTTTCATTATGAAAAATTTCAAACATGCACAAAATAGAAGAATTATATAAGACCCCACATACCTATCACCCTGGTTCAACAATTGTGAATTATGAAGATTTTTGCCAAACTTACATTAACTTTTTTTTCTTATTTAAGGCAAATTGCAGACATCTTGTTATGTCACTTCTTTGTTCTACAGTATGCATCTCTTTAAAAAATAGAACATCTCAACCACAGTGCTATTATCACATGTAAGAAAATTGACAATAATTCCATGATATCATCTAATATCTAGTCCATTTCCAAATGTCCCCTGCTTCTCTCAAAGATAGCTTTTTATAGTTGGTTGTCTTGAATCAGGTCCATTGTCATGTTTGGTTGCTATATCTCTGAACATATACCTAGAATAGCCTTTTTTTTTTTTTTTTTTTTTTTTTTTTTGAGACAGAGTCTCACTCTGTCACCAGGCTGGAGTGCAGTGGCGCAATCTCGGCTCACTGCAACCTCTGCCTCCCGGGTTCAAGCGATTCTCCTGCCTCAGCCTCTGAGTAGCTGGGACTGCCGGCACCTGCCACCATGCCCAACTAATTTTTGTATTTTTAGTAGAGACAGGGTTTCACCATGTTGGCCAGGATGGTCTCTATCTCTTGACCTTGTGATCCACCCACCTTGGCCTCCCAAAGTGCTGAGATGACAGGCATGAGCCACTACACCCAGCCAGCCATTATTTTTTATGTGTATTTTTTCTCTTTATTTTCTCCTGACATTGACTTGTTGGAAAAACCAGGTCACTTATTCTTTTGGAGGCTTCACATTCTGTATTTTCTGATTGCTTCCCATGACGTCGTTTGGTTTGTTCCCATAACCCCTGTATTTCCTAGAGACTGGAAAAGTCTTGCTTAGTTTCAGGTTCAACTCTTTTTTTGGCAAGAATCCTTTATAGGTGGTGATGTGAGCTTTATATATATTTTCCTTTTTTTTTTTTTTATCATTCTGCATGGTTGAGAGGAGTGAGCTTTATATTGTATCATATCAGGAAGCCTATGATATTCCACTGTAATGGTGCTCAGTTTGATCTGTGGGCTCAGGCTCCCATTGAATTTGTACCTAATGGTTTCATCCATTGATGATTATTGCTTGAATCAATTATTTCACTAGAGGTTGCAAAATGTTGATTTCCCATTCTCTCATTTCTTCTAAATTTATTAGAAGAAAATAGACAAGGTGAGCCTAGGATGTTTTGTTGTGTCAGAAAGCGAGGAAACTAATATGGTCTTGTCAAAAGGACTCAGAAGTTGGCCAGGCGTGGTGGCTCACTCCTGTAATCTCAGCACTTTGGGAGGCCAAGGTGGGCTGATGGCTTGAGGCCTGAAGTTCAAGAGCAGCCTGGCCAACATGGTGAAACCCTAACTCTATTAAAAATACAAAATTTGCCGGCCGTGGTGGCACATGCCTGTAATTCCAGCTACTTGGGAGGCTGAGGCAGGAGAATTGCTTGAACCTGGGATGGGGAGGTTGCGATGAGCCGAGATTGCACCACTGCACCCCAGCCTGGATAACAAGAGTGAAACTCCGTCTCAAAAAATAAAAATAGAAAAGGACTCAGAAGCCAACTTGAAGTGCCTCTCGCTGCCAAAGATAGGATAGTCTGAGAATAAAAAGAATAATGACTGCAATTAGTTGAAACACATGGAAATAAAAAGAAACGTAAGGTCATAGTGATACTTTTTAAAAGGCCAAGGAAACACAGTGAAACAAAATTCATTGGTCCCATTAGAGGTAATAGGGCACCAATTCCTTACTTTGAAATTTGGCAATTAAAGGAACAGAATTCAGCATTTATTCTGCCTTTCCTGAATGAACTGTATTTTAGAGTAACCAAATAGTCCTAGTTGATGAGGGAATATTTTGTTCGTTTAATATGAAAAAATATTCTGATGTTTAGTTTAAAGAAAAATGGACTCCAAATATTTCACTTAGTATACTAGAGTATTTCAGCTGTAAGTGCCAAAGAGTGGGCCTAATTCAGACAGTTCTCAAGAAATCAGATTTAAGCTGGGCGCAGTGGCTCAAGTCTGTAATCCCAGCACTTTGGGAGGCCAAGGCAGGCAGATCACCTGACGTCAGGAGTTCGAGACCAACTACTCAGGAAGCTGAGGCATGAAAATCACTTGAACTTGGGAGGCGGAGGTTGCAGTGAGCTGAGATCATGTTTGGGTGACAGAGTGAAACTGTCTGAAAAAAAAAAAAAGTGAATATGCTTGCACAGATAAATACAAAAACATCTGGGTGTGTATAGACCAACATGTGTGGCCTAGGGTAATAGTATTGTGGCTGATTTTTAGTTTATTGTTTGCTCAACTGTAATTTTGTATTTTTCAGCTACAACTATTAACATAGCTTGTGTCCAAAAAAAAAAACCCCTATTTATACTATCTATAAAAAATTGCAGGCCAGGCGTGGTGGCTCACGCCTGTAATCCCAGCACTTTGGGAGGCCGAGGTGGATGGATCACCTGAGGTCAGGAGTTTGAGACCAGCGTGGCCAACATGGAGAAACCCCATCTCTAATAAAAATACAAAAATTAGCCAGGCGTGGTGGTGCATGCCTGTAGTCCCAGCTACTTGGGAGGCTGAGGCAAGAGAATGGCTTGAACCTGGGAGGCAGAGGTTGCAGTGAGCTGAGATCACGCCACTTCACTCCAGAGTGAAAAAAAAAAAAATGTAGGCAGCCATCTTAAGTGATTTTGCTCTGTTTTTAGATGTTAATTTGTATCTATTCTATAAATTGTTTTTGCTTTTTAACAAGGTTTTTATGATTAGAAAAATCTCAAAGACAAAATTAGTGCATTTAATACAACTAATTTCAACATTCCTAGAAAATAGTAATTTATATTAAAAAAAAAAAGATGTATCAACATGTGGTTAAGCAGACCTGGTTTGACTCACTGAAATGTAGGCAAATCTTGCTGTTGGTCTAGTTATGGTGCTGCAGGTTGAAATCCAGGTGGTCCCATGCCTGTGCCAGACCAGATGGTTCCTCAGCCAAAAGAGCCTGCCCTTCTTCATCAGAGCTTTTTCTTTTGCTCCTTCAAGTGCCACACAGGGACACCACATGATTCTGTAGCTTGTAAAAGTGAGGATTCATTCCTGGAGGGATGAGAATTCATTCTCCTGCTTCAAGGAATGGTGTCATGTGGTGTTCACAGAATGTGAACACCGGCACTGACAGATTTGTACGCATGCATACATACTCTACACTGTGCGCAATGGTATTACTCCCCATCTACTAACTAGGTAGCAAAATATTTATTTCAGTTCTCAGTCTCCAAATCTCAGCTTGGTCATTTTAAGCACGTGTTGTTTCTTCAGTTTTAACTAACTAGGCTAATAACACAGCATCTTCCTCTGTTCCTAAGTTCTGTCGAAACTGCCCTTCATTCTACACCGCCTAACTGGATGTAGAGTCTGGAAAATGGGACACTAACTTTCAGGGCTTGGTCTAGGAATCTGCTCCCACGAGCAACATCAGTTATGACTCTAGAGGAAGCTGCAGAAGTAAGGGAAAGAAGGATAGTAGTAGCCCTTCTTATTTAGGCTACTTGTAAGTCAGGAATTCCTAATACTGGCCTGGCTCTGTGGGGAAAATTCTACCTTAATTTCTGAAATCATAATTTTGAATGGTGACTGTTAGTTACAAAACAATATGTTTAAGCAGAGAAATAAGGGTGGAGCATTTTGTTGACCACTTACCTACTTACAAGATGCAGACATCTAGGGAGCTTAATCTTGACAGTATCAAAATATTTAATTTTTAAAATTGTCCTTTTCTTGCAGAAATCTCTCTAAACCTATAGCTGTTCAGTATAAAGAAAAAGAAGATCGTTATGTGGACACATACAAGGTAGCTTTTGTTTTTACTCGTACTTTATTAAATGAAAAATTGTGTTTTGTTTTACAGACTTGTGTTTTACCTAATTTTAAATTTATACTATGGATTTTTTACCTTCTTGTACTAGGATTGACAGACAACTAGAAATCATTATGTGAAATGAAATATCATTTTCTATCCTGATTTTCTGAGAACACTTTGCCCAGAAAAAGAATACACTTATTTTGGCATAAATTGAAAGCCAGTAACTCATTGTTTATTCCAGTATTTAGTAGTCACATTCCTTATAAAAATCACAAAGATTTCCAGGGACCTGCTATTCGTATCCCCTAGTGTTATTTATGTAATAGTGTTAATATATTTATAATGTACCCATAACCATTAGTCATATTCAGGAAATTATGCATTGGTTTATTAAACAAAAATTTATCAGATTTTAACATTTTAAAAATAAAATGAATTACCTTTTTCTGTGAAATTAATATTAATGAAATTCTATTGGAAATTCAAAAATCACAATAGCTACGCATTACATTCTTCACGAGTATCAAGACAGGAGCAACTGAAACACTTTTCTCATATTCATCACATTATTTTATGCCACAGTTCCTGAAACATCCCTCTAAGCATCTTATGACTGTCACTACTTGATTCTTCAGCAGTTGAAAATGCGTCATTGCTGTGGAAATCAAGAAGTAACTCTTGAAAATTCACTATACCTGACTTTGTTATCAGAACCAGACAGAAGCTATGGGAGACAAGAATAGTGACAGATATTAAATGTTTGGTTGAACTTCCTACTTTATGATGGGAAGATAGGAGTAGTGAAAAATCACCATATTCTTTTTTTTTTTTATCTCTGATAACTGCACTGTAAAACAGACTTAAAATGTTATATTATTACCAATAATGTGACATAGTTTTTACATTTCTATTGCATTTCTACTTCTAGAGAAGCAGTTCTCTAGACAGCATAGCATTACATCTTGAAACTCTTTTGAAATGAAGACATCTCTAGTGACAGAAGCACCTCTCATTTGTTGGGTGCTTGATCAGCTTAGACATTATGAGCCATTAGTTAGGAGGTGGAGTGCTCAAAGTTAGGTAGGTTTTCTATGAGGGAATGAAAGAGTGAAGGTGGAGATGAGAAATGCTTCTGAGTGTTTGGGTCTTAGTGAGGCACCAAGGAGAAGACTCCCAGACACTCAAGGAGGCTGAAGTCTCCTGGGTAAGAGTGGGAGGGCCAGCCATGGAGAATGGCCTCAAAGGGGTAGTAGAGAAGGAGAGAAAAAAAAACATCCAGCACTTTTCTAGCGTTGCCTGGAGCCCACAATCATGAATTCTCTGGATTCACCGTTTCTTTCAGTACTTGGAGGAAGAGTACCGCAAAGGAGCCAGAGAAGATGACCCCATGCCTCCCGTGCAGCCCTATCACTATGGCTCCCACTATTCCAATAGCGGCACTGTGCTTCACTTCCTGGTCAGGATGCCTCCTTTCACTAAAATGTTTTTAGCCTATCAAGGTAAGAATTTAATAACTGCCTAAAAAGTCATGTTGGGTCATCAGAAACAACAACAACAACAACAACAACTTAGGACTGACATTTTAAGAACTATTAAGACTAATCAAACTACAGGAAAAAGAATTCTATTTATTCCTTGCCCAAAGTGCTCCTCAAAAAAGCTGTAGTAAGCCAAATCATCTTGCTAATGTCTCAAATTTTAGCTTCAAATTAAATGTCTAAGTTTATAAAAATGCAATTCACTTTTTAAAAATTAAGATATAATTCACAAACCATAAAATTTACCCTTTTAAAGTTTATGCAGTTCACTTTTTAAAGACATTCTACCTAATACTTATTTCAAATCCAGTAAGTTACCTTTGGAGCCTATGTACATTATTGCAGTTTATTATAAAGGCAAGTACATTATTGAGGTTTATTATAACTAGTTAATAAAAGACGCACACCGGCAACTTCACTGTGGTAGCTTTGTAGTTAATAATCTTCTACATCAGCATTTTAAGTGACAGACTGGAGGCCTGAACATGACTTAGATAGGAGTGAATTTGTATTTTTGTGGAGATTGGGACATACTCACCTGTAGTTTCTAATGAGAACGGTGATATTAGTTCTATAGCTGTTTCTCATGGAATCCAGAATACTTTGAGGAATCATTATCCATTCTTTTACTCAACCATTCTTGAACTACTTCATGCTTTTTACTCATGTACAACCTATTGGAGGAATGAATTTGTATTCACTCTTATTGGTCTATAAAAGGGGCTTTCCTATGTTTGTCTCTCTGTAAGTAAACAGAACAAATGTTCTATATGACAGCTGTTCAAATATTTGAAAATTGTTGGCCTGTTCCCTTTCTCTCTCTCTCTTGTTTTTCCCCTGGCTAATTATCCTTGGTTAATTTGACGGCAGATTGAGGGCCTCCTGGATGCATGGTCCTATCCCAGCTGCTGGAAGGAATACCAAAAAATAAATAGGACAGTTTTGTACTAAATAAAGAGTTTTTAAAACCAATGTTTAAGCCATCCTTGTTTGCTGTGGTTTCCAAGCCTGTCACTATTCTGAAGATCTTTCTGGACATGTTCTGATTTGTGAATGCTCTTGATGAAAAGAAAAAGGCAGTCAAAATAAAAAAGAATATTTCAGATGTGGTTTGGGCCCCTACAGTGTTTAACAGAACTATTACCTCCCTCCATCCAAGACTACATTTCATTTAATGTAGCCCAAGAACCCATTAATATAAAACTACCAATCAACTAAAATTTATCAATATTTTTATTCATGTTACTATTATGAATGTATTCATATATTATGTTTTCTTCATTATGTATTTATGAATATATTTTGTTTAAAACCTAGGACTACCTCAGTCTCCATTCACTTTCATCTCATTAGTTTCAAGTGATATCTGTTGGCTTTTGAATTTATTTCTTGGCTTTGGTTTAATGCAGGGATTCTCCACCTTGGCACTGTAGTCATTTCGAGCTGCATAATTCGTTTGTCATGGGAGCTGCCCTGTGCATTGTAGGACGTTTAGCTGTATCCCTGTTCTCTCCCTACTAGTGCCAGTGGTACCACCACCACCCACACCCCATCCCCCCAGTTGTGAGAATCAAAAATGTTGCTAGACATTGCCAAATAACCCCTGGAGGGCAAAAGTGCTACTGGTTGAGAACCACAGGTTTAATATATGCATATTCTAGATAATGGGAATTTGTAGTAGTACTGTTTAATAAAATGTAGGAAAATACAGAGAATCTTAAAATCTGAACAGAACCTACCCAATGTGCTACTCTTGTTCCGTATTTCCTTAGTCTTAGCTCCAGATACTTTGACCTCACCATAGCCTTACAAAATTACCTTAATTTTTCTTTTAGTTTTTTTGTTTGTTTTTGAGAATTACCTTAATTTTTCTGAATTCCATTTTGATTGATAACTTTTTCTACTAAGTTAGTAGGTATTTCTTTAAGTGGCCCTCCTTACTTTCTGAGAAAAAGTAAATGTTTCTAAACCTTATTTCTTCCCAGATTTTTTTTAGTGGCCAGCCAATGCCAATTGACTCAACAGAATAGATGAGAAAGTAATACAAGTGACAGAAGATGTTGCTCAGCAGAGCAACTAAGGCTGGGAGAAGAAACCTGATGCTGCGATGTGTTTGTGGCAGTCTCCAAATGAAAAGATGTGTTCAAATTTCAACAAGTTCAGAGGAGTTTTAGATGATGCAATATGGTTCCTAAGAAACATGTAAACTGCTACTGTTTTCAGAGGCTAGCTTTTGGATATCATTTAATATTCTAGGCCTTTCCCTATGGCTAGAAAGTCTGATCATTGTTGGCAGAAAAGAGAGTCCAAACTTAATTCTTTATTATTAATAGTCTACCCTGGAAAAAAAATGAACGAAAGAGTGACTATGCTTATTTTTATTTTCATTCACAGGAAATTTTACTCAATTCTTTAGCTCAGAGTTAGAACACCAAAAAACAATGCACCGTAACCTACGCACCCCCCCGAAAAAAAAGAAAGAAAGAAAAGAAAGGAGAAAAAGTAGTCTTAACAATTCAAAGTGAAGGAATCATGCTTCCTGATGGGGAAAAAACTGTTTGCCTACTTGAACTTAAATCTTCCTTCTTCATTATTCATTCATTCAATAAATAAACCATGATTGAATACCCATTATGTGCAAGGTGTGGGTGATATCCCAGGGCCCTGTTTTTGTGGAACTTTCATTCTACTTTGATAGATAGACGAAAATTAAACAAATAGATGATATAAACTAATCTAATAATATATATTACAAAAGCATAATACAGATGAAAAATGTAATATGATCTCAAGTTTATAGAAATATTTATTTTCAAGAACATGAATAACTTCTTTTAAACTATGGGCAAACAAAATTAGCATTATTTTAATCTTTTTGAAGTGGCAAAAGTAAATTAATTATGATAGGCCTCAAATAGAATTAGGTCTTTGTGTCTTAATCGTATTATTTGTATTTTTTTATAGATCAAAGTTTTGACATTCCAGACAGAACTTTTCATTCTACAAATACAACTTGGCGACTCTCATCTTTTGAATCTATGACTGATGTGAAAGAACTTATCCCAGAGTTTTTCTATCTTCCAGAGTTCCTAGTTAACCGTGAAGGTATAGCAATAAATTATTTTTAATTTATATTTCTGAGGGCTTGTGGTTATTTTGTAATTTTCCAAAAATGAAAATAGCTTTTTTAAGTCCTAAAAATTTTTGAGTCCCCAAATAAGAGAAAATGTTTTTTATTAAGTATATAATTCTATTTTCAAATAAGCTTGAGGATTTTAAGTATTTTATAGGACTAAATATGTTTGGAAAACTGTAACTTTTAACTATTAAAGTTATTTGTAAATATGTATTTTAATTTTATTATAGAAATTGCTTTATTCTTTTTTCTGAATACAAAAGTTATAATGTGCTAATTACTTTAAAAATAAGAGGTATGACTTTATTGAAAGCAAAATGTAAATTAACTGAAATCTCAATTATTTTATGAGGAATGACCAAAATAAAAATAAAATACTCTGCCCAGAATTATCTAATAACCAAAAGGAATACTGGAGTATAAAATCAAATTTTCTGTGATGCCAACTAACAGTCTTGGCTGCCAACCTTAGCTATTCTTAAATAGAAGAGCAGCTAACCCTTTAAGGGGTATCTTTGGGTCATTTTCTTATATTACTTAATTCTATAATTTTATGTGATCCTTAAGAGCATATGAAACAGCTTTAAGAAGTTGGTGTTGGGCAAATTACATTGGAATTTTGTTGTATAGTATCTGTGTCTCTGAGGTTGTTTGATTGATTATTGAATCATCAGTAGATTCATGCCACCCTGGAGCTTATTTCATAGTGTTGCTCAAGTGAGAAATGCCTCAGTCAAACATCAGCACCTGCAATTTGGGGCACCTGCCTTGAAGCTTTTCATTTAGGACTCCTGTTTAAATCTACTCCTTGTTTTCTCTGTCCATGGTCTCTTATATGTATGTTCTAGCTATCTGTGGCTGTATAACAAATAATCTCAACACTTAATGGCTTGAAACAATAATAAATTTATTATCAATCACAGATAATAAAATTATTTTTTATTGGTCAGAAATAAGAAATTGGTCAGAAGTTCAGAAACAGCTCAGCTAGATGGTTTTAGCTCAGGGTGTCTCATGCTGTTGCCTTCAGGTTTTCTGGAGCTGGAACAGGCAGGAGATGAAGCCTTAGGCAGCTGGAGCACATCACCCTCTCTTCATGCAATGTCAGTGTTTTTTCATGTGGTCTCTCTGTGTGGGCTAGTTTTGGGCTTCCCCACAGCACGGCAGCCCTGGATGTCCTACTTGGCAACTCAGGGTTCCAAAGACAAGTGTTCCAAGAGGGAGACGAACAGAGGCTGCATGGCCTTTTCCAGCCTGTTCTTAGCAGCCACGCAGCATCACTTCCACTGTATTCTTCCTATTCATTGAGGCAGTCACAAGTGTCTTCCCAGATTCAAAAGAAAGGAAGATAGACTTTGCCTTGTGATGGAGAGTAGCAAGATTCTGGAAGGGCATGCAAGACAGGAAATGCTGTTATAGCCATTTTTGGAAAACACAGTTTTTTACAGCGTATATCATATCATTTCCTATCAGTGTTCCCCTGGGACTCTCGTATGTCAGTTGTCTGCTTTGGGTCAGGAGTCAGATGTTCCCTCAGAACACCTGAAAGTTGGGAAAGATTGAGTTTGTACAAATGCCCTTATGCACCCCATCCCCAGCCCATTCCCAGATGCCTCATTCACTGTTAAATAAATAAGTTCCTGCTGCTGCCGCTCCTGAAGCCACACACATGGAGTTCTGCAGGTGCTCAGCCAGTCCATCCTAAATCAACCATGCAGCTGCTCTGTACGATGACTGCTGAGCTTTCTGAGATGCTCACATCCCCATCCCATGTGAATTTATATAAACCCTTGATTTATATTCCATATCATATCATTTCAAAATACTTCCCAAGTATTTTGGTGAAGATCCTTCTAACTGTTTTTACAAGATCAAAAAGTAGACAGACAGCAACTTAATTTTACATGGAACTTAATCAGCTTTTAAAAGGTCATTTTTAATTTTTGTTATGGTGTTCAGCAAACTAGAAAATGTAGCACAAAAAGCCATTTCTGTTTAAAGGTAACATTTCCTTTAGGATAATTTTTTTAAATAAACACTTCTGAGATTTTTGTTTATACTGATGAGACAATTAGATATTAGCTCATTTACATCACAGAAGAACCCTCTTATTTCCTGTGTTGGGATAATTTTGCTATCTACAGGAATGCTTAGTAGAAAGGAAGTCAGAACAGACCCATAGACTTATAAAATTAATAGACTATGGCAATTCATTCTAACAATGTGTATACTTTATATTAGTTGAGTTTTTAAACTATAGAATACTAATATTTACTAAATATAATCTTAAATTTATTAAAATGTTAATACCAATAGTTTAGAAATGCTTCTACAAAGCCTTAGTTTGATTCTAATCAGGTTTACAATTGAATAGATATTTAAGTACTTAATGCCCTTGAAGATGTGAATAGTCAGAATATTGGAATTAGTAGGCAATGGTTTTCTCCTTTTCTTCAATATGTTGTAAAGTGGTAGAAGGATAAAGTTGAAAGATCTCAAATTTAATTATGATAGCATTAGCTCACATAGCCCTATTAGTAGGTACATAAGTAGATGAGCAGTGGTGTTTCTTATTCAAAATGTAAATCCTCCTTGCTATTCCCTTTTTTGGTTGTAGCACACAAACAGCTATTTTTGTGAACTCTTAAGACCTGCTCTGTAGCTGAATGAAACTTGCTGTGGGGGAGTTAAATATTAATATTAATCTTCTCTTTTAGGTTTTGATTTTGGTGTGCGTCAGAATGGTGAACGGGTTAATCACGTCAACCTTCCCCCTTGGGCGCGTAATGATCCTCGTCTTTTTATCCTCATCCATCGGCAGGCTCTAGAGTCTGACTACGTGTCGCAGAACATCTGTCAGTGGATTGACTTGGTGTTTGGGTATAAGCAAAAGGGGAAGGCTTCTGTTCAAGCGATCAATGTTTTTCATCCTGCTGTAAGTGACTCTTTTAAAACAATCTGTATTTATATAAGATAGAACCTGAATATTTTAAGGTTAGTTGTTCGGCCATTCCTTTAAAACACTCAAGTTATCAAAGAGAATTGGTAGTAGCATTAAACTGTCACCTAAGATTTTTCAGGTTTTATATTTCCTCTCTTTAAAAACAAGATACTATCTTTTTCAGAGGTGCCCCAAAACAATCCCCAGGTTTGATGATTCACTAGGTGGACTTGAGGATTCAGCATATAGTCATCCTTCCAGCTCAGGTTTATTACAGTAAATGATACAAAGTAGAATCAGCATGGGGCAAAGTCTGGGAGAAAGCAGGCACAAACATCCAAGAATCTACCCCTGGTAAAGCACAAAAAGCATACTCAGCCTCCTCCAGCAACGAGTCATAATGACACATGTGAAATGTTGTCTGCCAGGGAATCTCATTAGAGGCTCAGTGTGCAAGACTTTTATTGAGATTGGCAACGTAGGCACCCTCTGCCTCGCACATACTGAAATTCCAGCCTCAGAAGGAAAGCAGGTGTTCGGTATAAACTGCATTGTTTGTACAGTTTAGGCACAGTAAGCCACTCTTATCAGTTAGGGAATGGTAGGACCTCTCCTGAAATCCAGGTTCCCAGACAACAGCCAAGAGCCAACTTTGCAAGCAGGCCTTTCCAGAGATAGCAGTCAATCTTGCTATGTTAACTCTTTTCCGCACACTATCCTACATACATGTTCTACTTTAAAATGGCACCATGTTTTCTTATTACAGAAAAAGTACTTGTACTTTGTTAGAAAAATGTATAAAATACAGACTAGCAACAGGGAGAAATTTTAAAGTCCACTTTAATATCACCATCCAGAAATAAATAGTGAAAGCACCTTTAGACTTCTATCTATACATATGTATCATTCCATTTATATAATAATAATAATAATGCTATTTGGTAACCTTATCTTCTCCCTAAATAAGATAATCTTAAATTTATTCAAGTCATTGGGTATCATTCTACATTATTTTTAATGGCTACTTACTATAGGTAGAGCATTCTTAATCCAAAAATCCAAAATTCAAAATGCTTCAAAATCAGAAACTTTTTGAGTGCCAACATGATAATCAAAAGAAATGCTCATTGGAGCATATCAGATTTCAGATTTTTGGATTAAGAATACTGAACTGCTAAGTAAATAATGCTAATATTCCAAAATCCCCCCCCAAAAAAACCCTGAAATCCAAAACAATTCTGGTTCCAAATGTTTGTATAAGGGATACTCAACCTATATTCTTAAGTATAGCTATAGAATAATTTATTTAGCAGTCTTCTATTGTTGGATATTTAGTTAGGATTTGTTTGCTATTAAAATTAATATTTCTATGGTTATTTTTATGTACATCTTTACTTCCTTAAGATAAATTCCTAGAAGTAGAATTGTTACATTTTTACTTTTTATTTATTTATTTATTTTTGAGATGGAGCCTTGCTCTGTCACCCAGGCTGGAGTGCAGTGGCGTGATCTCAGCTCACTGCAACCTCCACCTCCCAGGTTCAAGCAATTCTCCTGCCTCAGCCTCCCAAGGAGTTGGGATTACAGGCGCCCACCACCGCACCTGGCTAATTTTTGTATTTTTAGTGAGACAGGGTTTCACCATCTTGGCCAGACTGGTCTCAAACTCCTGACCTCGTGATCCACCACCTCAGCCTCCCAAAGTGCTGGGATTACAGGCGTGAGCCACCATGTCTGGCCTACATTTTCAAGTATACTTTTTGATGTTGTTGGCTAGACTAACTTTAGAAAAAAAAAATCTTACCTCTTCAGGAAACATTTATTTTGCTAGGTGCTGGGGATGCAAAAGTAAATAAGACTCAAATAGGGTGAAGGGGGTTAGGAGGAAAGCCAACTTTCCTCTCCAAGGTAGATGGGCCTGCCTGGATGTAGTAGTAGAGTCCAAATGAGGCCGCTGAAAGGAAATCCCTCAAGGAGTGGGAGGTGAAAAAGCAGATTCTGAAAAGAAAGATACTTCCTTTTAAAAGGAAATATCTGAAGGACTTCTCCACTAACTGTAATTTTCTGTGTCGACTGTAGCAAATCTACAAGCGTTTATAACAAATACAGGTAAAGTGCACACACAGAACCTACAGTAGACCACTCCATATCTGAGCTTATTTAGGCCAGTAGTCCATTCCCCAAAAGTAGCTTTAAAATAAAAAGCTCATTAGTTCATTTTGTTCCATAATTATTTTGAGTACGTCTGAAGTCATATAAAATTAAATTTCTTAAGAGATTTATAATCTAGAAAAGAGAATAAGATAGGCTTCCTAATTATTCTAATAGAAGATAAATGCTATGGAAAAGTTCATTCTAAAAAAGGAGAATAATATAGTTTCATTGGTGAATAACAACTTTACATATAATATTAATATGTAAGGGAGAAAAAATGCCTTCTTTTCCTCAGGTTCACTTGCTGGAGCCTCTGCAAAATAACAAAAACAAAGAAAAACAAAAACCCAGATTAACAAGAGAAAAGCATATAAATTTATTTAATGCAAGTTTTATGTGGCACGGGAGGCTTCACGTGGAAATAAGACCCCAAGTAGTTAAACCTGAATGTTTTTATGTCTGGTTTGATGAGGAATGGAATGTCATGAAGAAAAATGATAGGACAAAGGAGTAGGAGCTAAGTGTGATTAACCAGGGGAATAGCAGGACCTGTTTGTTCAGATTCCTCTGTGTCCCTTTGTCTTCTGAAATGAGGGTGCTTCTTTACTACAGGTATAGGGAGGGTAACTCCTAAGTGAAAATCTTATGATCTGCTTCAGGGGAAAGCCAAAAAGTCCTTCGTGCACATGCTGTTCCTCAGATTCCTTCAGTATGCCAGGGTACGAAATTTTGGGGTTGTGTGTCCTAAACTCCATCAAGTATAAAATAAATGCAAGGCTTCGGGTCTGATTTTTGAGCTTCATTTGATTCCAAAATGCAACTTTAAAAGCAATTAGGAGGCCAGGCATGGTGGCTCATGCCTGTAATCCCAGCACTTTGGGAGGCCGAGGCGTGTGGATCATTTGAGGTCAGGAGTTCAAGACCAGCCTGGCCAACATGGCAAAACCCTGTCTCTACTAAAAATACAAAAATTAGCTGGGTGGTAGTGGCTCTTGCTTGTAATCCCAGCTACTTGGGAGACTGAGGGAGGAGAATTGCTTGAACCTGGGAGGTGGAGGTTGCAGTGAGCCAAGATCATGCCACTGCACTCCAGCCTGGGTGACAGAGTGAGACCCTGTATAAAAAATAAAAATAAAAAGAGCAATTAGGAATCTTAACATTAACTTCATTATACCCTTTTTGTTTATAATCCTGAACCATCTTTTCAGTTATTCTTATATAAAATTTACATTAAAAGTATCACTGGGCCAGGCACAGTGGCTAATGCCTATAACCCAAATGCTCTGGGAGACTGAGGCAGGATGATCGCTTGAGGCCAGGAGTTTGAGACCAGCCTGAGCAACATGGTAAGAACCTGTCTCTACAAAAAATTTAAAAATTAGCTGGGCATGGTGGCACACTCCTGTAATCTTAGCTACTCAAAAGGCTGAGGCAGTAGGATCACTTGAACCCAGGAGTTCAAGTCTGCAGTGAGCCATGATCGTGCCACTGCATTCCAGCCTGGTTGACAGAGCAAGACCCTGTCTCAATTTTTTTTTTAAAAAAAAGTATCTGAAGACTGAAATACACATGGTAATTCTCATCTGACTGGAATTTTTTTTCACTAATTCTTTGGGACTTTAGTAACTTTTAGAAGGATAAAGTTTATGCCATCGTTAAGAATTTAATAAAACTTATTTAATGGGGCAAAACAAAGTATGGCGATTAAGTGCAGAGACTCTGAATTAAGGATTGAGTTCAGATCCTCACTCTGTGACTCTGCCACTTGTTGTGTGACCTTAGGGCAAATATCTTGACCTCTCTGTACCAAAATGTACAAACTTGTCAAATGTGAATAATAAAACCAACCTCATAAATGAGGAAGGAAATTCATGTAGGATAATGTCTGCTAACACAATTAAGCACAAATAAATGTTAACTTTTTAAAAAGGCATGTAGAGATGCCTGTTGCCCTTAATGACCGTTCACTAATACATGGGGTTCACTTAGAAATGAATACCACAGAATGTTGAAAAGCACTATTTTAAAATAAATTTTAAAACAGTTCTAGCTACAGGAGTGTATCAATCCTTATTTGATTTTTTGAGTACATTAAGTAGCCATTGCAATTGGCCTTTCTTAGATAAGTGTTTATAAAAAGTATTCACAACAAGAGCAACAATTGACAAGTGGGATCTAACTTAAGAGCTTCTGCACAGGAAAAAAAACTATCAATAGAGTAAACAGACAACCTACAGAATGGGAGAAAATATTTGCAAACTGTACATCTGACAAAGGTGTAATATCCAGCATCTATAAGGAACTTAAACAAATGTATAAGAAAAAAACAACCTCATTAAAAAGTGTGCAAAGGACATAAACAGACACATTTCAAAACAAGACATACGTGTGACCAACAAACATATGAAAAAAAGCTCAATATCACTGATCAATAGAAAAATGCAAATCAAAACCACAGTGAGATGCCGTCTCCCACCAGTCAGAATGGTTATTACTAAAAAGTCAAAAATAACAGATGCTGGCGAGGTTCTGGAGAAAAGGGAACACTTGTACACTGTTGGAGGGAATGTAAATTAGTTCAACCACTGTGGAAGGCAGTGTGGTGATTCCTCAGAGAGCTAGAAACAGAACTACTATTCTACCCAGCAATCCCTTTACTAGGTATATACCCAAAAGAATGTAAATCATTCTACCGTAAAGACACATGTACATGAATGTTCACTGCAGCACTAGTCACAATAGCAAAGACATGGAATCAACCTAAATGGCTATCAATGACAGATTGGATAAAGAAAATGTGGTATATATACACCATGGAATACTTTGCAGCCATAAAAAAGAACAAGATCATGTCCTTTGTTGGAACGTGTATGGAGCTGGAGGCCATTACCCTTAGCAAACTAATGCAGGAACAGAAAACCAAATACCACATGTTCTCACTTGTAAGTGGAAGCTAAATGAGAACTCATGGACACAAAGAGGGGAACAACGACACTGGTGCCTATTTTAGGGTGAGGGATAGGAGGAGGGAGAGGATCAGAAAAAATAACTACTGGGTACTAGGCTTAGTACCTGGGTGATGAAATCATCTGTACAACAAACCCCTGTGACTCAAGTTTACCCAAATAACAAACCTGCACATGTACTGCTGAACCTAAAGGTTTTTTTAAAAAAAGGATTTGATCACTGGTGCTGGGAGTTGTGGTGAGGAGAATGGAGTTGAAGATGACCTAACTTCTGAAATATCTTTGGAATTTTATTTTGGCATTTATAGAAATGTTATGTCTAGATATGTAATGAAAGCCACTATGACTGATTAAATATACGAAAAGCTAAGCCATCAAGTGGATATGTACAAAATATGGCTGATCTGTACTCAATTACTGACCGCCAGCTTTAGAAATAAGTAAATGTGCATTGCTCTCCATCTGACTCTACGGGATAATGACACTAAGAAAAAATATGCTTCTTAGTGCAGTAATTTTATTAGTACAATAATACCCTTTACATTTAAGAGCTTTGAATTTTCATTGCTGCTCTTTTGGTTTTATCCCCAATATTGATTAGAACCTAAATAATTATCTCTTCAACTATCTACCAGCATTGTATTTTAACTTCATTTTTGCCTTTTCCTATATATTGCTTTGGATAAGCAACTTCTTCAATAATTTAGTATCAGGTCATATATGATATTCTCAGATCTTAAATTAAAAGCTAATTTTATAAACATAACTAATTATAACCATCAGTCAAGATACGTTGTTTTTGTTCACCTATTCAGAAACATTGATACTTCTGATCTCAGTGAGACCATGAGTGATTGTTAACCTGAACAAAAGCATTTTTTCCATAACCTAGAATATAAAACAAAGTGTTGTTTTTCCCTTTGGTATTATTGTCAAGTCTTTCTTTTTACTACATATGTCTTGTTCCTTTACTCTTTCACTCTGCAGACATATTTTGGAATGGATGTCTCTGCAGTTGAAGATCCAGTTCAGAGACGAGCGCTAGAAACCATGATAAAAACCTACGGGCAGACTCCCCGTCAGCTGTTCCACATGGCCCATGTGAGCAGACCTGGAGCCAAGCTCAATATTGAAGGAGAGCTTCCAGCTGCTGTGGGGTTGCTAGTGCAGTTTGCTTTCAGGGAGACCCGAG
Source organism: Homo sapiens (assembly GCF_000001405.40). Taxonomy (NCBI): domain Eukaryota; kingdom Metazoa; phylum Chordata; class Mammalia; order Primates; family Hominidae; genus Homo; species Homo sapiens. The sequence goes on along the minus strand of NC_000001.11, from coordinate 235,702,772 downwards.
AACAGGTCAAAGAAATCACCTATCCGGTATGTCATTTGGATTTCAATCGAGTGCAGCAAAACCTGATTAGACTCTTGTGATGCCAGGCACTCTCCCAGGTGATGAATAGCATGGTCCTGGCCTAAAGCTGTGTGCCAGTCAGTGCAAGACAGGTGCAGCAGCGAAAGCAGAATCCTGTGCGAGGTAAATGCTGTGTTAGCGATATGAGAGAGTGCTTTGGGGAGCTCAGAGGAAAAAAGAATTCATCGTTTCAGACGGTAACCTCCCTCAGGGAGCAGAGAGAATTGTTATTCCCAGGGAAAGCCTCGCAGGGCAGTGACATAATAGGATTTTTCAAGCAAGAAGAGAAGGACTAGAGAATAGTTTGAGCATTGGTGTGCCAGTGTACACATGCATACCATGGTCTTGGTTATCATCTACAATCAAAAGGATTGACCAGTGATGCGGATGTTTTGGTTTATACCTAAGGGGAACTTTACATATTTCTTTGGCCTCCTCAGGTTGTAATGATAAGAAGTATTGCCTCCAAAAATAGGAAGTAGGTATAATTTTTACTTCAAAATAGAAAAATCAAGCAAGCCTTAAAGCTAAAGTGGATTTTAATCTTCAACTCAATTCTTCGTTATAAAAACAGCATAAGATAGTAGAATGTGAATTGTAAGCACTGTAAGGGTTTGCAGAAGGAAATCACAGAAAATGAAAAGGTAAGGGAAAGACGTTGTAAAGGACCTTAAAGATGAAATAACTCAGTGTATCTCAAAGTGCAGTAATCTGTGACCTATTTTAAGAGGAAAAGGTTTTTACACACCTACACCTTGTTTTGACTATTATTCCTTGTAATATTACTTTATGTAAGACAGAACACTGGATATAAATTATTTGCGCTCATAGCTCACATATGTCAAATGTTCATGTTAAATACAAACAAAACTTATTCCACCAGTGAAATTCAATTTTAAAGCATTAATATGGTAGACAGTGTTGTTTTGCTAAAACTAAATTACAAGTGTTGAGTTTCATAATAGAAAACTATATTTTTTGTTTTCTGTTTTTGAAGCTTCACAAATCACTTTAGTCACTGTAATTACCAGGGTCACTATTTTTAACTACAATCTGTCACTTGATTGATTGATTGATTGATTGATTGAGATGAGTCTCGCTCTGTCGCCCAGGCTGGAGTGCAGTGGCACAATCTCGGCTCACTGCAACCTCTGCCTCCCGGGTTCAAACAGTTCTCCTGCCTCAGCCTCCCGAGTAGCTGGGATTACAGGCGCCCGCCACCACACCCAGCTAATTTTTGTATTTTTAATAGAGACGGGGTTTCACCATATTGGCCGGGCTGGTCTCGAACTCCTGGCCTCATGATCTGCCCGCCTCGGCCTCCCAAAGTGCTGGGATTACAGATGCGAGCCACCACACCCAGCCCAATCTGTCACTTTAACATGTCAGCATAATTTTACAATACATCCCTGAAAATTAATAAATGCCATTTAATTTACTACTATACTTACTGCTCGTTAGCTGTTAAAGTTGTATCTGAGCAGTATGTCTGCTCGCAGTGGGAACATGGTACCAGCCTGCTTCATTCCCACCTCAGAACCTTTGTGATGACTCTTTGCTCCACCTGGAATAACCACTCCCCAGATATATCCCCAGTTTGCTCCCTCATCTCATTCAAGTCTCTGCTCAGACATCTCTTCCTCAGAGTCTTCCCTGACCCCCATTTAAATGCTTTCCAAAAGCTCTGATTATATCTAAGTCTAATTATGTCTAAAACAGCTGTTCCGTCATCCTCAGATCCCTTCCCCTTCTTTGTTTTGGTGTATAGCACTTCTATCACCTGACATATTGTATATGTATTTGTTTATTTATTTGTCTATACTCCCATCCCAAATAGAATGTAACTCCATAAACACAAGGACTTTGTCTGTCTTGTTCATTACTGTGTCCCCAGTTCCTAGGAAGGTCCTGGGCATATAATAGACACTCAGCATTTTTTAAATTAATGTCTTCTCTGATGCAAATTCTTTAAGGTTTGGTTTGCTGCATTTCTGTGTGATGTGTAATGACATTTATGCCACTGCTTTTCTTTATTTGAACCACGGTGAAACTTTCGACACCATACTGCTTCTTGACTCTGTGGGCCTTCACTTGACATCTACACAAAATGCAAACACAAGCCTTGAAACCAAGCAACAGTACTCATTTATAAGGGGGTCATCTGGATGACCCAGGTATGCTTGTGTGAACTTCAGTTCACTATTGAAGTTCAAAACAATCAGAGCTGTATAAAAAGCATTTCAATAAAGCACTCCTCTTTAAATATTCTATGAGAAGTGGCTGTTCATATCCTTTGCCCACTTTTTCATGAGGTCGTTTGTTTTTTTCTTGTAAATTTGTACCAGTTCCTTGTAGATTCTGGATATTAGACCTTTGTCAGATGGGTAGATTGCAAAAATTTTCTCCCATTCTATAGGTTGCTTGTTCACTCTGATGGTAGTCTCTTTTGACGTGCAGAAGCTCTTTAATTAGATCCCAGTTGTCAATTTTGGCTCTTATTGCAATTGCTTTTGGCCTTTTCGTCATGAAATCTTTGCCCGTGCCTATGTCCTGAATGGTATTGCCTAGATTTTCTTCTAAGGTTTTTATGGTTTTGGGTTTTACATTTGTCTTTAATTCATCTTGAGTTAATTTTTGTATAAGGTGTAAGGAAGGGGTCCAGTTTCAGTTTTCTGCATATGGCTAGCCAGTTTTCCCAGCACCACTTATTAAATAGGGAATCCTTTCCCCATTGCTTGTTCTTATCAGGTTTGTTGAAGATCAGATGGTTGTAGATGTGTGGTGTTATTTCTTAAGTCTCTGTTCTATTCCATTGGTCTATATGTCTGTGTTGGTACCAGTATCATACTGTTTTGGTTACTGTTGGAAAAAAGCTCAGGATCACTGATCATTAGAGAAATGCAAATCAAAACCACAAGGAGATACCATCTCACACCAATCAGAATGGCGATTATTAAAAAGTCAAGGAACAATGGATGCTGGTGAGGCTGTGGAGAAATAGGAACGCTTTTACACCGTTAGTGGGAATGTAAATTAGTTCAACCCTTGTGGAAGACAGTGTGGCAATTCCTCAAGGATCTAGAACCAGAAGTACCATTTGACTCAGCAATCCCATTACTGGGTATATACTCAAAGGAATATAAATCATTCTACTCTAAAGACACATGCACTCGTATGTTTATTGCAGCACTATTTACTATAGCAAAGACATGGAACCAACACAAATGCCCATCAATGATAGACTAGATAAAGAAAATATATACCATGAAATACTATGCAGCCGTAAAAAATAATGAGATCATGTCATTTGCAGGGACATGGATGAAGCTGGAAGCCCTCATCCTCAGCAAACTAACACAAGAACAGAAAACCAGACACCGCTTGTTCTCACTCATAAGTGGGAGTTGAACAATGAGAACACATGGACACAGGGAGGGGAAAAACACACCCTGGGGCCACGCGGTGGAGTTGGTGGGGATGGGAGAGAGAGCATCAAGACAAAACCTAGATGATGGGTTGATAGGTGCAGCAAACCACCATGGCACACGTATACCTATGTAACAAACCTGCACGTTCTGCACATGTATCCCAGAACTAAAGTAAAAAAAAGAAAGGAGAATAATGATCATAAATATGCTATGATATAAAACAGTTGCCCTTGTATCTTTCTGTGTCATTGAAAAACTAGAAGTTTAAACTCTGCAACTCATATAAAAGGAAGTTCCTTTTATATGAATTCCTGGCAAGGAATTGTGAATGATAAATTATAACTAAAATTTAGCACACACATTTTTCTCAACTTTATTTGTTGATTTTTTTTGTTTTTGTTTTTGTTTTTTTGAGACAGAGTCTTGCTTTGTTGCCCAGACTGAAGTGCAGTGGCGTGATCTCGGCTTACTGCAAGCTCTGCCTCCCAGGTTCATGCCATTCTCCTGCCTCAGCCTCCCGAGCAGCTGGGACTGCAGGCACCCGCCACCACGCCCAGTTAAATTTTTTTGTATTTTTAGTAGAGACAGGGTTTCACCATGTTAACCAGGATGGTCTTGATCTCCTGACTTCATGATCCGCCCGCCTCGGCCTCCCAAAGTGCTGGGATTACAGGCTTGAGCCACCGCGCCCGGCCTTTCTCAACTTTAATATTGATAGATTTGGATCCCACAGGGGAGCCACAAAAAAACACTGTTAGACAAAATTTTAGAAGCTTGTTTTCAAAATGCCTGACCCTAACGTCTCTGTTCCCACATGAGCATTCCTGAAGCTCTTAAGCTTTTCCAGAGATACTCATTTTTTAGACCACTATGATATCATTTAACATGTCCCCTAAATAGTCTGACAGAATTATTAGAGCTCCTAAAGTGGCACGATTTTTTTAAAAGATAGTCTATACGTCAGTGATGCCTTTTTTTTCATTTATTTGGAAAATGACATAAGCAAGTTTCACTAAAAATCAGGTTTTTTACAGAAATGACTGAAAATTGCTTAATATATTATTTTTATTTTATGTAGCATTTCCTCTGAAGAGTTGAAAGTAAAATAATGGGTTAAACTCTTAAATGTATAAAAGGAGGGAATCCATTAAAAAAGAAGAGTTCAGTAGAGGATAAAACAGTCATAAGGAGAACAAAAAGAATAGAACTATTTGGGGAAACTCTTTAAAAGGGCATCATGTCTTTTCTTCTTCATTTTGAAACTTTTTAATAACTGTTTTTGCTTGAAGTGGAGGAAACCTTTTCATTACCGTTCGTGGGCAGCCAAATGGGTATCTCTCTAGAGTCTTCACTCACCTTTCTTCCCCCAAATCCTATTGTTCTTCAAGCTCTACCTTTTATTTTTCACTGACAATTCTTTCTCATCTCTTTTCTTCTCTAGTACTGGCTAGAGATTCTCTAATCCTCGCAATATGTTCCATAGATAAACACTTTCCCTTTCACTCATCACGTATCTATTTGAGATGAGAACCTGCTATGTTCCAGGCACATAGATGAATCAGAGGTGTTCCCTCTCTTCAAGGAGCTCATAGCTGAGTGAGGTTTCCTGTGCTACATGTGGTCTTGATTTCTATTACCATATGTACATATGGCTTGTCATACTACCAAATTACAGTCCTCCAGTAAGTATCAACTTTAGTTTAGGTATTTCAACTAGAAATAAGAAATGTACTAAATTTTTTTCTCTGCTCAAATTTCAAGGAATTTTGAATTATTAACCACATATTTTCATGCAAATTAGGCCAGAACCACAGAGTAAAACTCAAATAAGGGACAAATATTTCTATACGCTAAGCATGGGGAAGTAAAAAAAAATGCGTAAAATAATTATTGCCCTTACAGAGCTTATAATCCATATTACTTTCTCTTACTTTGTTTAGAGCTTAAATTAGAAGTAATTCTACACTTACCACCTTTTAAAAAGCCATACTTTTTATTTTTCTTCATTTTAGAGTCCTTTGTCATGGATAAAAGGCTTGAAATGGGGGGAATACGTGGGTTCCCCCAGTGCTCCAGTACCTGTGGTCTGCTTCAGCCAGCCCCACGGAGAAAGATTTGGCTCTCTCCAGGCTCTGCCCACCAGAGCAATCTGTGGTTTGTCACGGAATTTCTGTCTTCTGATGACATATAGCAAGGAACAAGGTAAAATAAAATGTAACGAAGATCATTCTGGATATATCTTTCGTGAGATTTGAGTATTTCTAGCTCATCTGTGCTGCTACTTTGAGTCCTTGGTGGAAAAACTCAGCTCAAATTTGTGGTTATTTAGTGCAAAGTAGGAATGAAAACATGCTACATGAAAAAACAGAGAGTTAAATGCAGTGCTATTTGAAATGAGAGGAGGAACTTGAAGGGGACAAGAATAGATGGTTATGTTCACAAAATGAAGATGTTATCGATTTGGCAGAAATGTACACTTTGAGGCTGTTGAGCCCCAGAATAGACAGACGTATTTGACCAACAAATCTACCATCTCAGAAGATATAGTCATGGGTTTAAGCAACAAACACAACAAGGATGTCGAGATAGCCTTGAAAATAGGTTTTAAAGACACGTATTCCTGAAAACCAATCCTTTTCTGACTCCCCACATACTGACTCACTAAAAGCAACATGTGGGAAAGTGCTGTGCAGTAGAGGCCTCTTCATGTTTCTAAATGTCAACTAGACACTGGAAAACTAGGGACATTTTGCATTTGAGCAGTCCCTCAGCCATTCCAAATTAGCCATTTCACTAGAAACAAAAGAACTCTTCCTACTTACTGTGGACATGGGGCACCAAAATGAATGACCTAGGGCACTCATCTGTTTCTATCAGGTTAAATGCAGACTTGCCTAAAAGCCAGTGTGTGGACTAGATGCCTGTTAGCAGCCAGCACTGCTGGCAATTACCATTACCTTCTGTGCACTGTGCTCTTTGGGAGCCATATATAGCCTTCCACCCAACCTGCAATACAAAGGTGCCAGCACCCAGAGAAAACATCAGTCACTTAAAGAAATTAGGTATGCTAGCTGGGCCATAGTTCTTTTAGGCTCACTCTTATTTCTGTCATGAAATGAATGATTGTTTTATAGTTGTTAGAAATAAGAGAGGATGCATACCGTTTTATCTATGTTTAGTGAGTTAATAGGATAGGGTAGAACTGTTTAATCATAATTATTGTGTTATCAATGGTTCATTCTTACTAGTATGTTACAATTAGTTATGAGGCAATTTACAAGTAATTTACTAATAATACCAAAGTACCAACATGTGTGAATTATTTACCTTTAAAAAATTAGAGTACAGTAGGCTGGGTGCGGTGGCTCAAGCCTGTAATCCCAGCACTTTGGAAAGCTGAGGCGGGCAGATCACGAAGTCAGGAGATCGAGACCATCCTGGTTAACACGGTGAAACCCCGTCTCTACTAAAAATACAAAAAAAAATTAGCCGGGCGTGGTGGCGGGCTCCTGTAGTCCCAGCTACTCGGGAGGCTGAGGCAGGAGAATGGCGTGAACCCATGAGGCGGAGCTTGCAGTGAGCCAAGATCGCACCATTGCACTCCAGCCTGGGAGACAGAGCAAGACTCCGTCTCAAAAAAAAAAAAAAAAAAAAATTAGAGTACTGTAAAGTTTCTCTCTGTTGAGCAAAAGAGAAAGAGCAGGTATTATCACTTTGCATTATGGGACTTAAGCATGTCAAACATATTCTAAGCCTATCTTATTTGTGCCACTACAGTCATGAACCCTTAGTGTGCCCTTAATAGCTATGTTCGCTCAAATTACACTTAATTTCTTCGCACAATGTATTTGGAATTTGTCAGAACCTGGGTATGTCCAGAGCAGTAGTTTAATAGAACAGTTTCCTCCATGGCCTCCACAGGCAGTTCCTGAGTTTTGCATCCTTGCCCTGCTGCTTACTAGCTATGTGGCCTTGGGGAAGTTAACTTCGTGCTTTGCAAATCCTGGCTTTTGATCTATAAAGTAGGAATAACAAAATAATTTACCTCACAGGGTAATTTTCTGTAAGGATTCAATACAATAATGTATGGGGATGATTAGCACAGTGCCTGGTTCATTCTAAGTGCTTAATAAATGCTTATTGGCCTGTAAATACCCTAGGGTCTGGGAGAGGTCAGTGTTTACTACATACACTCAACACTAGACCCAGCAAGGAACAGTCCACATAGACATTCTAGAGAGGCATTGACTGAACAATGTTGTAGCTTACAGATGAAAGTTAGGTCACTTGTTAACACAAGAGACACACTGCATCAGAATCTCTGGGGCTTGAGTCCAAGCTTATACATGCTGAAAATCAATTTTAGATTCAATTTTAATAGATCCTATTTAAGATATACTGTCCTAATAGTTAAAGGAGAAGTTTCTTTTTCTGAAAGAAAAAAAAAAAGATGATGCCTCTTGTGGTACTGGAATGAGAAACCTTGGTTTATGGAGCACTTGCTGCATGCCAGGCATCATGGCAGATTTTGAGAGGACTCAAGACTCATGATATGTGGTTCCTTTCCCTAGCAGCTTATATTTAGAGGAGTTTCTATTTAGTGAGTATATTCCAATTCTTTTGTTACAAAATGTTGTCAACATTTCTTATTTTACTCAGCAAAACAAAAAGCTGTGAATTGCCTATTTTCACTATGCTGTTGATTCATTCAAGAAATATTTATTTGTTATACTCATCTACTTCTGGGTATTCTGCTAGGTACTGGAATAAATAAAGCACATTGTCTCTCCTTTAGGAACTTAAAACATTGCAAGTTTCAAGGGCAGTACCATTTACAGCATATATGCTGCATTTAGCTATATTCAGCATACCAACAAAGCATAGATAATTAATAGTACTGGGAAATGATGTCAAAATTTCCAAATTTTTATGCCAAGAGAACATCATACTATGTTGTAAAAAAGAGAGAGGGCTGGGCACAGTGGCTCAAGCCTGTAATCCCAGCACTTTGGGAGGCCGAGGCGGGCAGATCACTTGAGGTCAGGAGTTCGAGACCAGCCTGGCCAACATGATGAAACCCCGTCTCTACTAAAAATACAAAAAAAAAATCAGCCGGGCATGGTGGCGAGCGCCTGTAGTCCCAGCTGCTGGGGAGGCTGAGGCACGAGAATCACCTGAACCCAGGAAGCGGAGGTTGCAGTGAGCCGAGATTGCGCCACGGCACTTCAGCCTGGGTGACAGAGCGAGACTCTGTCTCAAAAAAAAAAAAAAAAGAAGAAGAAGAGAAGAACAGAGCCTCCTTGAATTGAATGAAGGTCTACCATACACAGTCCTGCAGTTGACAGGATTAAATGATCCCTTCTCAGGCTAGGTGTTGCTTCCACTCTAGCAGTGTTATCTTCCTGCTACTAACAGTTGTCTATCCTGGGTATCTAGAAAGTTAAATAGTATCTAGTTCATATTTATTTTTAAAAGAAAAGGTGTCTCAGAACATGAATAGAGTAAGCTTCACTATTACTGTCTTTTATAATAATTTCTTAACAGAAATTTTAGTTCTGAGTCAAACAAATCCCAGTCAAAACAACACAAGTGAAAAAATATAATCCCACCCTGAGAACCCTGTTAGCATTAAAGGAATAAAACTAAAAAATTGTTCCATTTTAGAGATTTAAAGATGGTCTTGCACCAAATGATATGTTCTGCTATGTAAACTTCACCCTTTAATCTGCCAGTTTTGGGCTGTCATGTAACAGTCGAGCAGTGACAATCTGATACTTTTCTTTCTCCTTCTCCTTGAGGTGTGAGAAGCATGAACAGTACGGACATTCAGTGGTCAGCCATCCTGAGCTGGGGATATGCTGATAATATTTTAAGGTTGAAGAGTAAACAAAGTGAGCCTCCAGTAAACTTTATTCAAAGTTCACAACAGTACCAGGTAAACACTTTATTTTATTTTATTTATTTATTTTTAAGACGGAGTCTCACTCTGCCGCCCAAGCTGGAGCGCAGTGACACATCTTGGCTCACTGCAAGCTCCACCTCCCGGCTCACGCCATTCTCCTGCCTCAGCCTCCCAAGTAGCTGGGACTACAGGCACCTGCCACCACGCCCAGCTGACTTTTTGTATTCTTTTAGTAGAGACGGGATTTCATCGTGTTAGCAAGGATGGTCTCGATCTCCTGACCTTGTTATCTGCCCGCCTTGGCCTCCCAAAGTGCTGGGATTACAGGTGTGAGCCACCACACCTGGCCAACTTTTTTTTTAATTTTAGAGTGTCGCTCTGTTGCCCAGGCTGGAGTGCAAAAGCACACTCTCAGCTAACTGCACCCTCCACCTCCCAGACTCAAGTGATCCTCCTCCCTCAGCTTCCCAAGTAGCTGGGACTACAGGTGCGTGCCACCATGCCTGGATAATTTTTATATTATCTGTGGAGATAGGGTTTCTCCATGTTGCCCAGGCTGGCCTCAAACTCCTGGACTCAAATGATTCACCCGCCTTGGCCTCCCAGAGTGCTGGGATTACAGTGAGCCACTGTGTCTGGCCCATGTAAACGTTTTTGTGGTATCTTTATAATGGTTAATGCATAAAAATGAGTCAGACTGGCTGGGCACAGTGGCTCATGCCTGTAATCCCAGCACTTTGGGAGGCTGAGGCGGGCAGATCGCCTGAGGTCAGGAGTTCAAGACCAGCCTGGCCAACACGGGGAAAACCCATCTCTACTAAAAATACAAAAAAAATTAGCCAGGCATGGTGGCACATTCCTGTAATTCCAGCTACTCAGGAGGCTGAGGCAGGAGAATCGCTTGAACCCAGGAGGCAGAGGTTGCAGTGAGCCAAGATCACGCCATTGCATTCCAGCCTGGGTGACAAGAGCGAGACTCCATCTTAAAAAAAAAAGAGTCAGACTGATAGCAGCTAGGTTGGTTGGTTGGTTGGTTGGTTGGTTTGTTATGAGATGAAGTCTCGCTCCATCGCCCAGGCTGGAGTACAGTGGTGTGATCTGTGCCCACTGCAACCTCCGCCTCCCGGATTCAAGCAATTCTCCTGCCTCAGCTTCCGAAGTAGCTGGGACTACAGGCATGTGCCACCACACTTGGCTAATTTTTGTATTTTTAGTAGGGACGGGGTTTCACCATGTTAGCCAGGTTGGTCTCGAACTCCTGACCTCAGGTGATTCTCCCGCCTCAGCCTCCCAAAGTGCTGGGATTACATGCGTGAGCCACTGTGCCCAGCCAAGCAGCCAGTTTTTAATATCCTGCAATTTGTCCAGTCAAGAATCTGATGTTAGGCTGGGCATGGTGGCTCACGCCTGTAATCCTAGCACTTTGGGAGGCCAAGGTGCGGGGATCACCTGAGGTCAGGAGTTCGAGACCAGCCTGGCCAACATGGTGAAACCCTGCCTCTATGAAAAATGCAAAAATTAGCCACGCATGGTGGTGGGCACCTGTAAATCCCAGCTACTCGGGAGGCTGAGGCAGGAGAATCACTTGAACCTGGGAGGCAGAGGTTGCAGTGAGCTGAGATCGTGCCATTGCGCTCCAGCATCAGCAACCAGAGCAAAACTCCATCTCAAAAAAAAAAAAAAGAGAGAATCTGATGTTTATAGTACTTACAGACTTCCTAACTACCACTATTTGTGTCCCCCAAATTTGTTTTCTACCCATTTTCTCATTGAGAGAATATTATCAAAATCTCCTGCTCAACATCAGTGAAGGGCATAGTGTTTGAACCAAATCAGCATTGCCTTCTTCTCAGTGTTCACTCACCTTTGTCATTAGGTCATTTTCTGTAACCATAGTGCCATCTTTTATACCTGATTTTTCCTAAATGGACTGGTTATTCAGACATCATGTATAGTAGAAAGAACATTGGGCCTAAAGCCCTGTGATCTTTGTTAGTGTCCCAGCTTCGTTATATACTAACTGCAGCCTTTGACTAGTAACTTAATCTCTCCAAACTTGAGTTTCTTTCCTCCTCATTACAACCAAGATAATAGTACTCACACTTCTTTCTCAGAAAGCTGCTGTAAAATGTTTCCAGTGTTTGTGAAAGAAACTTGTAAACTGTAGCCAGGCGCGGTGGCTCAAGCCTGTTATCCCAGCGCTTTGGGAGGCCGAGGCGGGCGGATCACAAGGTCAGGAGATCGAGACCATCCTGGCTAACACAGTGAAACCCCGTCTCTACTAAAAATACAAAAAAAATTAGCTGGGCGTGGTGGCGGGCGCCTGTAGTCCCAGCTACTCGGGAGGCTGAGGCAGGAGAATGGCGTGAACCCGGGAGGCGGAGCTTGCAGTGAGCCAAGATTGCACCACTGCACTCCAGCCTGGGCAACAGAACGAGACTCTGTCTCAAGGGAAAAAAAAAAAAAAGAAACTTGTAAACTGTAAAATACCATGTAAATATACAGTATGCTGCTGCAACCGTTCCAGACTGTAAATCGTATGGACAGCCTTCTTTTTTGACTCTCTTTCCATGGGAAGTTCTCTTACCATTCATCCTCTGATTTCCATTACCTGCATAACACCTGCTGCCTTATCATGTGTCCTAAAATGTATCCCATTCCCTGAGCTCTTTAGAAATGGAGGAAGCTACTTAGGGGAATGTTTAGCAGTGAAAGCAAGAGGAGCAGTGCCTTGTTTGCATAACCCTCAATATCCCTGACCAAAATATTGCCACCATTTGTTATATAGCTTACCAGGAAACTGACAGAAGTAAGAATAAAGAGACAGTGAAAAACAACTTTACTAGGAACTTTAATAAGATTTTTTTTTTAGTTTTGAAACATCAGGCTGCATTAACCAGAGCCTTTGTATGCAGATAGAAATATATATATCCAAACACAAACAAGTTATAACCATAAATCATGGCAAAGCTTGTAGTATAACTAAATTGGAAATGAGTCTACAAAATAAATGAAAACACAAAAACATATTATAGAATCAGTATGTCCCTTACTGCACCCTTTTTGGGATTATTATAAATTGGGAAAAACAGACAAATATGTACAGTGGGAGTTAGATATACAATACATTCTACCTGTCAAAATACACTGACACAAATTTATGAGCAGATTTAACTCATTGCTGTCATCAGTAATCTGTATTTACAAACATCTTGACTTTCCAATGAAAAGTGAAGAAAAATGAAATCATCATCAGTATTAATTGAATGTTTTCAACGCAATGTTAAAGATATAACATAAGCTTTCAATCAAATTCTTTACACCTTTAATTACTAGGCATTCCTTCTATTTAAGAGTTGGGTACTGTTACATTAGATTGATGTGGTGTGAAGAGAGGACAAAGATGAACAAATAACTTTAAAGATGCTTTCCGATTCACTAATTTATTTTCACCAGTACAAAGACAAGCATTTAGTCAAATTGTTTTTGCCAAGTAAATTGACTTGTTAGTTTAGCAGATCCAAAGCTTGAATAAAGTTGTTTAAAATTCTTATTTTTATTTTTTTCTAGCTTTATTGGGATAAAATTGACAAATAAAATTGTATATATTTAAGGTATACAATGTGATGTTTTAATACATGTATATATACATTGTGAAATGATTACTACAGTCAGGCTAATTAACACATTCGTCACCTCACATAGTTAGCATTTTTTACGTGTGTGATGAGAATATTTAAGATCTACTATCTTAGCAAATTTCAAGAATACAACACAGTATTATTAACAGTAGTCACCATCCTCTACGTTAGATCTCCAGAACGTAATCATCCTGCACAACTGAAACCTGTACCCTTTGACCACCATCTCTCCATTCCACACACATTACCAGCACTCTCAGCCCCTGGCTACTGCTACTCTACTCTCTGTAGTTCAGCTTTTTTTAGATTCCACATAGGAGCAGGATCATACAGTATTTGTCTTTCTGTGCCTGGCAGATTTTACTTAATACAGTGTCCCCCAGGGTCATTTGTGTTATCACAAATAACAGGATTTCCATCTTTTTAAAGGCTGAATAATATTTCATGTATATAAAAGAATTTAAACATTGCAAAATTATTTGTATCATAATAGATGAAAATAAAGATGAAAGAACACTATCACAAGTCCTGTTAGCAAAACAAGATGTGATGACATTGTGTGATACTTTGAGTCAAATGACTAAACTGGATGAGAATACTATATTGCATTTTCATCTAGAGATACATTTCTAAAGATATATTTTTGTTCACCCATTAATTCTTTGATTTGAGAAAATTCAGCTAGGATATTATTGTTGTTGTTGTTGTTGTTGTTATTATTATTATTATTATTATTATTATTATTATTATTATTATTTGAGACGGAGTCTCACTCTGTTGCCAGGCTGGAGTGCAGTGGTGCGATCTCGGCTCACTGCAACCTCCCCCTCCTGGGTTCAAGCGATTCTCCTGCCTCACCGTCCCTAGTACCTGGGACTACAGGTGCGTGCCACCACACCCAGCTAATTTTTTTGTATGTTTAGTAGAGACGGGGTTTCACCATGTTAGCCAGGATGGTCTCGATCTCCTGACCTCATGATCCGCCCGCCTCGGCCTCCCAAAGTGCTGGGTTACAGGCATGAGCCACTGTGCCCAGCCAGGATTTTGTTATATAAAGACTCACGCTCTGAGATTTCACTTATATGATCAATTTCATCATCATCAGTAGAGTCTAGAGTCCTGACGGCTGTGTGCCTTCATGTTGTGATTAGTCTCATAATTGTGAAACATCTTCCTCTGTCAGCTTTCTTGGTAGAAAATGAAAAATTCTGAATTCTCCACCGTGTTCAATGAAAGCCAAAAGTAGACTACAGAAGTGGTGTCTCCAGCCTTCTTTTATACTTTCCTGAAAGATGACACTATACTTTGGACAATGCAATAAGAAAACCAAAAGATGACGATTTAGTTCACATATTAGATTATCCTCTTGGGAGATTCCATCATTCTCCCATTTCCTTGCTTGTTTGTTTGTTTTTTGCGTATTTAGGAATAATTGATGAGTAGTGATGAAATAATTTTTAGAATGATGAAATCGCTAAATGTTTCAGGATATAGAAAAACAAGTTAGTTATTAAGATCTTGTAATGTAACTTAGGTTGATTCACTGGATCCATGTGGTAATTCCAAGACAGAATGAGTTTTATTCTGTGTATTTTTTAAAAGTGCATTTTCTCTTTGTTCTTTGGAAGACCTCCAAGAAAGAATAAAATTTATGAAGTATCAATCCTAACAAATAGAACTACTCAAGAAAGAAACTGAAAACATAAAATTGGATCCAATGGATCCTTATGGTATAACGGGAGTTAAGAAGAATAAAGATCAGAGAAAGTCATTTTCTAAGGTAGCAGAGACGTGAACACACTTGTAGTGCAAGGGGGGAAGCCAGCAAGAGACAGCTTGAAACTGTAAGAAAAAGAAAACAAGGTTTCTGAGGAAGCCTGAGGATGAGGCAAGGCTGACCTTGAAAGCAGACATTTCTTTCTCTGAATCAGAAGACAGGGAAACATGTTGAGGTGCAGAGGAGAGGAGAGGAAGAGGTGTGCAGCTGGGGGTCTCCATCTGCTTAGTGAAGTGAGTGTGGGGGAGGTGGGACAGGAGAGCAGTTGGGGACAGTTGCTGCGGACATGGTGCTCAGGGTGGGGGTCAGCTAGCATGGAAAAGAGGACCTGTCAGGCCACATAGAAAATTGACTCAAACCTGAGTGGTGCCTCCATGGTTAGGACTGAGGGATTTTGTACCAAAGGCATAATCCCATCTTTTACATTCACATTTATCTTCTTTCTTCCCCTGCTTAACAATCTTTAGAACTATTAGAAGCAATACCTCTGTTTACATGTACCTGTTTCCCCACCAAAGACATAAAACGAGGAAAATAAAAGCAAAAAGCAAATAAATATGTGAAGTACACATACATTCACACTCAACCTTGGATTTAATCAATCCTGAATCATTTTGTTAAATTTATCTAAATATATATACACATATATCCACACACAGGCACGTATAGACATAGACTATGCATTATAATATATTTTAATTTGGAAACAACATTTAGACATTTGGCTCAAAGTTACGGAATATTACTATATCTGACACGTTTCTGTTTCAAGAAATGTTTACCTAACATTTTTGAGAGTTAAAAAAAATAGTTGTCAGAAAAGTAGAAGTATTTTTCATTCTTTTATTTTATTTTTATTATACTTTAAGTTTCATTCTTTTAAAACATGATAATCTTTGATTGGTCCTTTTTCAAAGGTGACTAGTTGTGCTTGGGTGCCTGACAGTTGCCAGCTGTTTACTGGAAGCAAATGCGGTGTCATCACAGCCTACACAAACAGATTTACAAGCAGCACGGTAGGTTCTGGGCTTCTGTGTGGGTAGTATGGGACTTTGTCAATGAGGGGAAGAAAGCCTTTATGAAGTATAATTCACTTTGCATAAGATTAACTTAAAATGTTTATACCTTAATCTTCTCCCTACATTAGGTCTTAAAATGCTTTAGGGTTTATTAGAATCATGAAAAATCTTGAAAACAATTGTAGTAGTCCCATTTTTTTTCAGAGACGGTATTTTGAGTTAGATCTGTTTTGTATTTAGGCTTTTAAATGACATTTTGGTGCTTACCTGTATTTGCGATAGCAACCTGAATCCTTAGGAGTATACTGTAAGAGTCTATCAGTTTGAAAGCTTAGAAACCCTAATGTCCAACATTCCGATAACCTCTGGGTAAACTAAGTGACAGCAAAATCTAAGTAGTCTGTCTGGATTTGTACCACTTACTGGAAGAAATTTTATTATTTTTCAGCCATTCACTGAACTCCCAGGATTTTGGAGTTGAATCATAAAACGGGAAAAAATAAGACAGATTATGCAATGCTTCTTTTAATTTACTGTTTTTGGGGGGTTTTGTTTTGTTTTGTTTTGTTTTTGTTTTTTGAGACAGAACCTCCCTCTCTTGCCTAAGCTGGAATGCAATGGCACAATCTCAGCTCACTGCAACCTCTGCCTCCCGGGCTCAATCAATTCTCGTGCCTCAGCCTCTCGAGTAGCTGGGACCACAGGCATGTGCCACCACGCCCGGCCAAGTTTTGTAGTTTTAGTAGAGATGGGGTTTTGCCATGTTGGCCAGGCTGGTCTCGAACTCCTGGCTTCAAGTGATCCTCCCACCTCGGCCTCCCAAAGTGCTGGGATTATAGGTGTGAGCCATCACGCCCGGCCTGTTTTTGTTTCTTGAATCAACTGCCTGTGGTGCAGTTGAGGATATGTGTCAAGTTTAGGTTGATAACTCAGTAATCATCATTCTGATACAGAATTTTCACTGTGCATTTTTTTCCATTATAATTTTCTTTATAGTATTAAATCTGTTTTACTGAGTGAAACCTGTATTTCTAGCATAGGGTGACTCCCAGGTTCTTCGTTTTCTTTTTTTGTTTGTTTTTTTTTTTTTGTTTTGTTTTAAGACAGAGTCTCACTCTGTCGCCCAGGCCAGAGTGCAATGGTGTGATCTTGGCTCAATGCAATCTCTGCCTCCCGGGTTCAAGCAATTCTTCTGCCTCAGCCTCCTGAGTAGTTGGGATTACAGGCGCACACCACCACACCCGGCTAATTTTTGTATTTTTAGTAGAGACAGGGTTTCGCCATGTTGGTCAGACTGGTCTCGAGCTCCTGAGCTCAGGTGATCCACCCGCCTCGGCCTCCAAAGTGCTGGGATTACAAGTGTGAGCCACTGTGCCCAGCCAGGTTCTTACTTTTTTTTCCAAGCTTATTCCCTTTTGAACTCTTGTTAAGTTTCTTTGCATGGTCACTGAGGTATAAATGTGACCATATTTTGTTTCTGTCTCTTAGTCTAAGGAGCCATTAAAATGGTATAAACAGGAGTTATATGATCCAGTCAGCATTTTAGGGAGACCACTGTAGAGCCTGCAAGGAGAAACACTTCCAAGGGCATGAGACTGGGAGCCAGGACACCAACGAGAAGGCCACCGCAGTGATCCAGGCAGGAAGCAAAGAAGGGCAGGTTAAGGAGCCAGAACAGTGGAGTGTATGCTCTAAGACAGGCCCACACCCAGGATAGAGGACCACAGAAGAAGGACATCCAGACATCAGGGAGCCTGTTAAGTTACACTTGAGCTGGATCCTAAGGGATCAATCTACTGTAAGTAAAGGAAAGAGGAAAGAACATTTCAGGCAGAGGAAATAGTTTACACAAGAGCCTGGAATCAAAGGCATGGGGATTTTGGGGGGTGGCAAATACTTTCCTGTGTAGTTTAGAGTGTAACGTGTTGGGGAAGAATGACAAAAGCAGGGCAGGAAAAGATTGAGGCCAGTGATGAGGTTCTTATATGCCATGATAAAAAGAATGCTAAAGAATATAAGCAGGGTGTGGTGGCTCATGCCTGTGGCCCCAGCACTTTGGGAGGCCAAGACAAGAAGATCGCTTGAGCCCAGAAATTTGAGACCAGCCTGGGCAACATAGCAAGACCTTATTTCTACCAAAAAAAAACAAAAATAAAAAAATTGGTCAGGCATGGTGGTGCATGCCTGTGGTCCCAGCTACAAGGGAGACTGAGGTGGGAGTATCACTTGAGCCCAGAAGGTCGAGATCACAGCAGTAAGCCGTGACCACACCACTGCACTCCAGCCTGGGCGGCAGAGTGAGACCTGACTGAAATTGTTTTTAAAAAAGGTTATAAGCAGAGAATATAAGTGTCATAACTTTTTGAATGTCTCCTTTTTATCACCTTTTGATTCCCAAAGGCTTAAAATGAATGTTAATTTTATAACATCTGTAATATTCACACTGCCATTACCTTTAATCTTCTGAGCTCCCCTTTCTGACTTCCCCTACAAATCGATTCTAAACCCTGCTGCTAGGGCAGTTGTCAGCTTGTGCACTTGGATCATTTTGCACCATGACATGGACACCTTTTTTAAAACCTGGCTTTATCTTTTGCTTTTTATTTCCTTTTGCTTTTGCCAACACTTTGAACAGCCTTGTTCTTAGTTTTCCCTACTTCTCCATTTTTAATTGTGCACTAACACAGTGTGCAGTACAGGTTTAAAAAAAAAAGGTTAAGCTGTCACTATAGGAGTATTTGTGCACAGGATAGCTTTGAGGAAGCAGATCAAGAGCATAGCTATTACAATTTAAATACTGCAAGACATACATTTCTTTTAGTTTTGAGGTCATGACACACTTGTGAAGGCTTATGTTGCTTAGCTGTCCTCAGTTATATATTTGCCTTAAAGCAGATTTTTCAGCTAATTTTTATAGGATTTTTTTTCCACCTAAGTATTAGGTAATCAAATCATGAGATTAATAGTTACTATTTAACAGTGCCAAAAAATCTAACTTAGTAGTGTAGTTTTATCAGTTTGTTTTGTTGGGAGATTACTTGGGTATTTGTAGACATTGTTGTTGCTTTTTCCCAGGGATCGTGTTGCTATTCTGGCATCTCTAAGGTTGTGGTTCTGACCCTGAGCTTGTGAGGTTAGCAGGAGACACCTCATGTTCACTGGTTTCTGTTCTTCAGCTTTCCTGACCCACTGAATGCATGGTTTTAAAAGTGTTCATGTTCTCCTTTGGATTGTCTTTAACACAGACAAAAGATGGGCCCCCCAACCAAGTGCCACATAGGATGTGGCCAAATCCTTGTTTGAAAATACTTTCAAGGGGATCTTAGGAAATGCCTTCCTTAGCTAGTAAGCATATCTAACTTTGAGCACCGTAAGTTTCTGTTGAAGCACCCAAGATAAAAGTCTTCTAAAATGCATTCTAGGTAATGATGAATAAGTTGACTCGTTATATGGGATTGTAACCTATAAGCCATTTAAATGTTAGAGGAGAATATCTTCTAAATGTGATAACTGATTTTAAAATAGTTGCTGTCGGGTTATTCTGTCACGAAGTAAGTAACGTGTCCACATCATCTTCGTATAAGTGAACACCTATATATCTGTTATCTAACTTGAGAGTGGCAGAAGAATATGTGTGCAGCTTATACAAGGTAGTATTACTTCATTCAAGAACAATATTTAAAAGAAGGTGCCAGCACAAGAGACCTGCTCGACCCGCTGGAAGTTATTTTCTGACCCATCAGTGAATTGTCTAGTAATATTAGCCTTTGCAGTTATTTCAAAGTGCAGAGTTTATTAAAAAATTATCAAATACTACTATTAGGACCCCTATGTTGTGTTTACCCATAACTGTTACTCATTTCACAGAGTAAAAGGTGGAGAATAGGTCAATAAATCTGTACTCTATGTTTCTTCTGACATATTTTTTACAATAATGAATGGGATTGACTGTGGTCAGTAGGAGAATGACCTAAAACTTTAGGAAAATATTGGCCCAAGGAGACCAAACTTGTAACTTATCAAGTAGAACGCTAACCTCATTTTAGTTTTGATGTTGAAGTAACTCACTAATCTGTACTCAGTGAATTGGAGATAGTTGTTCTGTTTAAAATTGGGACACTGAAGAAAAACAAAGCATGTGTGGAAAAAAATAAAATAGAACTTCTAGAAATGACATAATAAAAATAATAGTTAATATTTACTGACTGCTTACTTTGTATTAGGCATTGTTCTAAGCTCTTTACAATTTCTGATGTATTGGTTTTTGACTCAAGTATCTTTATTTTTCTCTATATTCTTTCATCCGACTACATTTCTATGGTTTTAACTGTTGGCCCTAAGCATAAAACAGATGTGAGGATGATCTTATTCTAAGAGCTGTGCATTGTGTTCCAGCCCCAGGTTGTCTGATACTTTCCTTTCTTATCTCCCACCTGGCTCATGGCCTCTCCTGCATCAGTAGTGCCTGCTGTGGGCTTCCTGAGGCTGCACAGCATGCTTCTCATTGCTTGTCCGCCACATGCTTCTCTGGGGCTTCCTCTCCATGTCCGCCAGCAGCCTGTTGAGCTAAGGCACCTTCCCTTTCCTTGTTGCTCTTCTCTTTCTCCACTTTCTTCTTGGGCATACAGGGTCTTGCCCTTTTGCCCATGCTGGAGTACAGTGGCACAATCACGGCTTACTGCAGCCTCAACCTCCCAGACTCAAGTGGTCCTCCCACCTCAGCCCCATCCCCGACCCCCTACCAATAGCTGGGGCTACAGGCACACACCACAATGCCCTACTACTTTTTAAATTTTTTTCTAGAGACGGGCTCCCACTATGTTGCTCAGGCTATTCTCGAGCTCCTGGGCTCAACAATCCTCCTGCCTCAGCCTCCCAAAGTGCTTGCATTACAGACGTGAGCCACATGTTAAATCTTCGTAATAACCCTTTGATGTAGGTTTTGTCATTATCTCCATTTTTACATGAGACTACTGAAACACACAGTTAATCCTTCTTGTAACTTGCCCAACGTGTCACAGCTGATTCATTGGAACAGCTAGTCAAGCAGCAGATTACAGAATTAATGAACTGAAAAAAATTACACAGAATATAAAATAGAAAGATAAAGAAAAAAAATGAGGAAAGAAGGGATATGAGGGCTAGAATGAGAGCATCCAAATGTGATGAGTAGTTACAGGATGAGAGAAGGAAGAAAGGCCCAGTGTGAAGAGATGATGACTGAGATTTTCCTACAATTAAAACCTACATTTTGGATTAAAGAATCACAGCAATTCTTGGCAGGATAAATAGAAATGAGTCAAACCTGTCTCCTCCAGATGTCCCCCTGACCATTGCCCCAGCTCATTCCTTTGCATCCTGCCTGGGTCCCTATGTTGACCTTCTCACTGGTGTCCTGGCCACCAGTCTCATGTCCCTGGAAGTTGAGTCTCCTTGTAGGCTCTATGATGGCCTTCCTAAAATGCCGACTGCATCACATTAGTCCTGCCCCAGACACTTCAGTGACCCTTTATTGCTTCGGGGATAAAATGTAGGTTGCTAGGCATCACACACCAGGCCCCGTGCTCTGACCCCTCTCTGCCTCACTGCCCCCTCTACCTCACCACCACGTTTCTTCCTGCTCCCTACCTACCCTGCTCCCAGTAACATTGGCAGTGCCACTTTCTTTCATATCTCCTTTCCCTCACACATGCTGTCTTCTTAGCCCAGAGTGCCCTTTGACAGCCATTTTTCTTTGAGTAAATTCTGCCAGTTCTTCAAAACTTCAGTTCATATGCCGTCTTCCAGGGAATCCTCCTTTCACTCCCTGTCCCCAGTCTGAGGAAGCGACTTATCTGTGGGTCCCCGGAGTTCTTTGTGAAAATCATCTTTGGTAGCCCTCACTCCTTACTGCCATGGAGCTGCCAGAGGGGAACTCTGTATCCCCAGCTCCTGGTTCAGTGACAGGCACACAGTAGGGGACACTCAACAATGTTTGTTGGATGAATAAATGTATGGGTTGCCCTCCACATTACCTGTCTCTCTCTGTAATATGAAAATCACTTGTAGGCCAGGCGCGGTGGCTCACGCCTGTAATCCCAACACTTTGGGAGGCTGAGGCAGGCGGATCACCTGAGGTCAGGAGTTCGAGACCAGCCTGGCCAACATGGGGAAACCTCTTCTCTACTAAAAATACAAAAATTAGCCGGGCGTGGTGGCAGCTGCCTGTAATTCCAGCTACTCAGGAAGCTGAGGCAGGAGAATCACTTGAACCCAGGAGGTGGAGGTTGCAGTGGGCCAAGGTTGCGCCATTGCACTCCAGCCTGGGCAGCAAGAGCAAGACTTCATCTCAAAAAAAAAAAAAGAAAATCACTTGTGTGTCCTTATTAGAAATATCCATGGGCCAGTCACAGTGGTTCATGCCTGTAATCCCAGCACTTTGGGAGGCCTTCCCAGGTGGGACGACCACTTGAAGCCAAGAGTTTGAGACCAGCTTGGGCAGCATAGCAAGACCCTATCTCCACAAAAAAAAAAAAATTTAAAAAGTAGTTGGGCATGGTAGTGCATACCTATAGTCCTGTTATTCAGGTGGCTGAGATGGGAGGATCACTTAAGCCCAGGAGTTTGAGGCTACAGTGAGCTATAATCACACCACTACACTGCAGCCTGGGTGACGGAGTGAGACCCTGTCTCAAAAAACAAAAACAAATAAACAAAACTATGATCATGGCCGATGGCCAACAAGAGATTTACTGTTTCTTAAAAAAGTTGTTCAGAATAATCCTCCCCTGAAACGATGAAGAGTGGATAAAATATATATACAAAAATATATCTTTATAAAATATATCCATGTTTTAATATAACTTATAAGTATATATTTTAATATAATGTAAACATATAATGATAAAATATATTTTTATTCAGTCTTAGTTGTGTGTGTGTGTGTGTATACATAGATATTTATAGAGAGAGAGAGAGAGAGCCTTAAAAGCATTGAAGATCTGACAAGCTAGTAAGAAACTACCAAGCCAGAGAGGTAAATAAGCAGGAAGGAGCTTTAGCCCTGAGGACACTATCAATCCTGAAACACTGACACTGTCCTTGGACAGCCTCTGTGGAAGAAATGGAAAACGGCACCCAGGAACTAAGCAAGCTGGGGAGTGCCAAGAGAGCCCGCCTCCAAAAGGCTGGTCCCTTTCATTCTGCTCTCTCAGAATGAAAATGAGTTGCATGGGAGAACCCTGGAATTCCCTGGTTTGTCTAGGATCCTCAAAGACTTCACTTTGCGTTAAGGTGGCCCCAGGCTGGTGTGGTAGTGGGTGTCATCTGGCAGAAACAAGGAAGTTACTTGCATTCTGTTCCACAAATAGAGGAATTCCTACAAGTAAATGTTATAATGTAGTGACAAATACACAAAACCAGGCACAAAAAAATACAGCTAAGAAAATAAATTTATGAAAAAGTTAAAAGTTATAATAAAATAAATATCATTTAAAGCAACCTTGATTGCCACTTGAAACTTAGGAAATTTTCAAAGATTTAGAGTGGGGCCAAATCACAAACTCAATGCTGCAGAACCCAAGCAGAAAAGGAAGGGGCTCAGGTCCTTTAGAGCAGGGAATTCCTTGGTCCTACATACCTCAAAGCATGATCTGAAATGGGTTATGGGTATATCCCAGTGGCTCTGCAGACTCCTGGCTGTGGAGAGTGTCACAATCTGAGAGCCAGAATGGCTCTAAAGGGAGGGCCCAGGGATCCAGGCTTACTACTCTTGCTGTTGTTAAAAGCTGATCTGGTCGCTGTGATTGTTTTCAGGTGAAGGTCACACGCCCTAGCTAAACAGGCAGTTGCTACACAGCTCAAGCCAGTTGTTACAAGGAATAATGTGAGCCTGGTATTGCCTGGTCTTTTGATTCTTTAAGTGTAAAATATGTATTTTTATGTCTATAAAAATATGTAACTGGACTACATAGCAGCTAAGATAGATAGCTGTACCTAATATATCAACACAGATATATTTCAAAAACAATGGTGTTTTTGAGAAAAGGTAAGATGCAGAAGATACCTAAAAAATAATACCATATATTCAGAATTCATAAACATGAAATACAATATAATACTTATATGTATTATACAGTATGTTGTTTATGGCTATAGTAACATAATGGAAGTATAAAAACTTACATAGGAGTATAAATACAAAATTTAGGCTAGTAGTAACTTCTGACAAGACAGAAGAAATAGGATGTAGAACAGTACACAAATTATATGTACAATGTTTAATGCTTTATTTAAAAAATAAATTGATAATATAAAATGTTAAGATTTGTTTAACTGGGTAGTCAGTATATAGCTCTTTATTATACTTATTCTTTCTACTTTTCTATATTTTTGAAGGGGAAATATTGAAATGCTTTATGATAATAGTTAACCTAACAAAGCAAGAGTCAAACCCTGTGTGGACATCTGGTATCCGTGAGCCAGTGTGGCCCTCAGAGCACCAGTTTGCAAGCTTTGATTTAGAAAGTCAAGCCATAACTGCTGAGTATCGGTAGCATTAGGGCCCATTACCGTTGGTAACATCACCAATTTGCATGACACCTTCTGAAAGTACACTGTCAAGAACTATAAAATTATTAATATTCACAAACCCACTAGGAAAATTTTGGAAATTTTAGCAGAGACAGGGTTTCACCATGTTGGCCAGGCTGGTCTCGACCTCCTGACCTCATGATCTGCCTGCCTCGGCCTCCCAAAGTGCTGGGATTACAGGCATGAGCCACCATGCCCAGAATTTTTTTTTTACAGAAGTATTTCTTCTTAAAAAACTTTAATTATTTATTTCCCAAAGGTCTGCCCTCTAATCTACTAAAAACCTTTTATACATGAAGAATTTATGGTATTATCTATAATTTGAAAAAAATAGAAACAATTTTAAGTGTCTATCAATGAAGGATAGTTGTAAATTGTGGGGTACTAACTGTATAGAATATTATAACATCATTAAAAATTATTTTGAAGACAATGTCAAGATTAGAAAAAGCTTATAGGAGAATATGTAAAATATAAAATAGGAAATTTTTATGTGGCAATATTACAACTATAAAAATACATGTATATTTGAACAAAGATTGGACAAGAATAGACAAAAATGAAAACCAGATAACTGGAAATTATGAGGAATTAAAAATTTTTTAATTTCTTTCTTTGTTTTACTCTGAATAGGATTGAAGAATGATATGTTTGAGAAGACCATTTGAGTCACTTTGGTTGTTTTATTTTTGAGATACTATACTAGAGTACTTTTTGTTGTGGTTTTTATCTCATACTTAATTTTAAAATTTCAGCCATCAGAAATAGAAATGGAGACTCAAATACATCTCTATGGTCACACAGAAGAGATAACCAGCTTATTTGTTTGCAAACCATACAGTATACTGATAAGTGTGAGCAGAGACGGAACCTGCATCATATGGGATTTAAACAGGTACAGAAGAAGGTCTCCAAATCAAACATAGCATTTTTAATATATCCATTTTTACTATATGAAATAGATAAACCAAAATAATGTCTTTACGTTATAATCATTTTAACCATGAAACACATGCTTAAAGGTAGTAAGATTACCTATTATATTTTATTGAAGTCATACAATCAGATAGGAAAACATGTATGCCTTATGTACAATAGGTACATAGACTGAGAAGAAGAATTACAAAATAAGAGAATGTAATTATATTTAATGATCATATACAAATTCATGTCTTTTTTCTTTCAGGTTATGCTATGTACAAAGTCTGGCGGGACACAAAAGCCCTGTCACAGCTGTCTCTGCCAGTGAAACCTCAGGTGATATTGCTACTGTGTGTGATTCAGGTGAGCTTGCTCCAACCCAAAGCACAGGGCTGGCTGGTGCTCTAACAGCGCATTCGGCCAGTGGTTACTCCTAGGTCGAGCCATTCTCTCAGGTCCCTGCCAGATCTAAATACTTTGGTAACAGCATGTATGTGTATAGAAATACAATATGGTCCAAGACTGAGTGCATCAATTTAGGCCTCAGCTTATGCAGAAGTTAGTATTGTCATAATTTAACTATTTTCCTGATACATGTAAAATTGCATTTGAGTACATGTTAAGCTAAGCAAATTATTGTTACATAGTTTTTTCAGTTTTCTTGGTTTTGACTTTTCTCCCCTTTTTTGCTTCTGCTTTGTAACTATTGACTTTGTTACCTTCCTCCTGTGAAAGAACAAAATTTTAACAAATTGAGCTGAAAAATTGAATTAGCTTTTATTAATGATTCATGAATCAGGCAGCATTCCATCTATGAAACAGAAAGGTACCCCAGAGAGCCGAGCAGAGGAGGTAGGCTTCATAGGCAGAAAAAGCTGAAGAAAGCAGAAACAAGGAACAAAACTCAGATAGATCATTCCACAGTTACTTTCCTTAGAGGATTAAAGCAGAAGGAACTTCCTTATCATACCAGCTCAACTTGAGTGATCCCCTGTCATTGATTGCTGTGAATCTCCTGTTTTTTTGGAAAACTAGCCCATTTCCAAGTTCAGTTTGATTATGTGTCACCTCGCACAAGTGACTACTCCATTCTTGTTTGATCTGGTATGTTAGGGCCTAGTGCAGGAGCTCAGTCTAAAACATTGGCCTCCCGTAAATTTTATTTAACACTCCTGACTAAATGAAAAGCCTCAGCAGATGACCAGCTTGAATATATGTCTTCCAGGTTCAGACAGAGAGCAATAGTATAGAATAGTAAATGGAAGTATAGTTTGCCTTAAAAATTACATGACAAAAATATATCACCTAATCAAGAGTGTTTTGTTGTTGTTGTTTCATATATACATGTTAAGAAACCAATGCATCCAGCAGAAAAGAACAGTTAGAAAATTCATGAATTTTCTGTTTGCATTTCTATTTTTAAGGGTCTTAAGATGCAAAGGATCCTCTGAAAAACTGTTTGCTTCTTTCTGTCCATTCAGTGTTGGACATACCCATAGTGGGTAGTCCCCTATCCTTTGCTAGCATTTTTTACATTGTTTCTTTTTTTCTAACACAAAATGTATGGTGTTTTTCCAGAGACTAACCAGTTCTCTGACACCAACTGGGTGTCCCACCATGCAGTTCAATTGTGACACTAGAAGTTTGCAAATTTGGAGGCTGCCATGAGCCCCACCCTCAGGTTCAATAATTTGCTAGAATGACTCACAGAACTCAGTAAAACACTATTTATACTTAACAACTATCATTTATTATAAAGGATAGAAATGAACAGCGGCTGAAGAGGCACAGGACCAGGTCTGGAAGTGCCCTGAGTGCTGGAGTGTCTGTCCTCCTGGAGTCAGGGTTGTGGAGTTAGGGTGCACCATGTTCTGGCACACAGTTGTTAGAAACAAGTGCTTGGTGCCGTAAAGAAAAACTAGCACTTAGAAGATTTCTCAGGAAGGCACATTTACTTCTGCAGAAAGGTGCTGCCTGCGTCCGACCGACCGATCGTAAGAGCACACCGAAAAAAGGAGATAAAGATTTTTATCCCTAACACAGCTCCTGTTGCTGTATCCTCTCGCCATTGGCTGGAGTCAGACTGCACAATCTAACTAACTCAATTGGCTAAGACTTAAAGTTTTCTAACTATGATAAACATGCAGTTTGCGAGAGGAGGGGAGGAAGAGACTGTTGCTAAGGCAGGAAGGGTAGTTTATAGAACAAGTCTGGGCATGTCTAGGCATATAGAGGTTTGCTAGTTACAAAATAAGCAAGGGTGGGGGCTGTTTACAGAGCAAGAAAGACCAAGGGAGCTTGGAACTTATTATTTCTGACACTTTTCCCCCTTTTGATGTTATACTTCTTCCTCTTCAGAGTCCTTAAATTTTTCTAACATCTCTTGGCTTTGTAGTTCCTTTTGGTTGTTTAAGAGTAGGAACTTATTTGAGTAGGGCGGGGGAGAATCGAGAGAGGTTTTGGTAAGAGCTTTTTCTATAAGCCTTTGCCTTGATCCACGAATACAAGGTATGATGCAGCAACTTACAAGAATGAGTACACTGATAACAATTGCAAGGGGGATAAAGATTGATGTTATGAGTCCTTTCTATTTTCTAAACCATTTTTCTATGACTTTTCGGCTAATTTATTTGCTAGGGTGGTAAGGCCCTGTAGGGCTTTTGTGATTGTTTTACTGGGGGCTGTGTTGTTAGGGATAAAAGTACAACATTGGACTCCAATCATGACACAGACCCCGCCCTTTTTGGCCAATATTATGTTAAGGGCTATTCTATTTTCCTAAGCCATCTGACTGGTAGGACCTAATTGTTCAGCTATTCCTTTAATGGCATCCCTAGTATAGTTAGCAAACCACTGTTGATTA
This sequence comes from Homo sapiens, assembly GCF_000001405.40. NCBI lineage: Eukaryota > Metazoa > Chordata > Mammalia > Primates > Hominidae > Homo > Homo sapiens. Next base: position 235,674,590 of record NC_000001.11, on the reverse strand, counting down.
TAATAAACGTAATTTATCCAGTCTACATTTTTGCTTGCAGTTACCCATGAGAACAATATAGATTCAAATCCTGCAGCTATTTGATTCCTGGCTTTAAATTCATTTAGCACCTCTTGTGGAACTTTGATAGCATTTATATATATGTGACGATCAAAAGACCCGAGGGGGACACTTTTTTTTTTTTTTTTACGATTGTTCTTTCTATTTGGTTGATGAAATGCCAGGGTGAAAGGGATGGCTAATTGGATTAGAGCGCAAATGCCACTCCACTTGCTTGGCAGAGTACTTAATAGTGGTCCACTACAATACTACCATACATCCGCTTGGGGATGAAAACAAGGGCAGACAGGCTGGTTAACTCTTGAAAAGGCTTAGATTCACTGCGTCCTGTTAGGCTTCCAAGGAATGCCAAATATTCCCCCTGTCGTGAGAGACACAAGGTAAAATTGACATTGTTACTTGGAGGCCAAATAGCTCTGGAGGGCTGACCCACAGAGCCTGTAACTTCTGGGAATAGTAACGAGAGACTGGCATGCCTTATTGCCCCGGGCTGTGGGGTCTTGGAAGAGAGCTGCTATGCAGTTCATATTCTGTGGGTCGGAGGACCATCCAAGTGGAAAGGGGACGATTTGGGTCTCTGCTCTGCCTGTTGCAAAAGCGCAACAATCGCTTTTATTTAAGGTGTGAGCGGAATATTTAATCCATTTCAGCCAGGCATTTATATCTTGGTACCCAGTTGTTATGGCTAAAGTTTGTTTTAAATCCTTGACTTTTATTATAACTACTTTGGTTTTGTCATTGGGCATGAAATGGTAGATGGTTTGATTGGATGGGCTTGGGGAAGGGGTAACAATAGAGGATAGCGGGGAAGAAACAAAGCGCATTTCAAAGAAGCCTGTAGAGTCCTTTCTAACGGCATTTTCTCCTAGACCATAGAAGCACCTAAGGTGGGGTTAGAGTTGCTAGAGGTAGGGATAGTAATAGAGATGAGTAGTGGGTTGCACTGGTGGGTGTGACAGTTGTGGGGGGCGGTGACTCCTTCGGTGAAATGGAGGTAAGGCTTTAGGGTGGTGCAATCATCTGAGGATGTCTAACCTTGATTTTTGGTGGTCTAAACAACATATGCCCATTGAGAACATAAATTGGGGAGAGAGTGCTGATCTCCCCACCATAGGCGGGATAAGGGGGCGGTAGTGGCTTCCCTGGAGGGGCAGAGGTATTTTTCTGATGCTATTTCTCTTTGGCGTTGAAGGTTCCTGCAGGGTATAACAAAACAAGCATTAAAAGTAATATTTTGGGGTGAGCTTGACTTAGTTACATTAATAATAAAATGGAGGGGGTGGTTAAGGGAAAGAGAAGAGAAAAAAAAAGAGACAGACTGATTAGACTTTTCTTTTTAACATTGCTTTGGTGGGAGTTGGCCCTGGGACAGTGGTCCATGGCTTTGAAGAGGGCAGTGCTTTCTTGACTCGGGTATAATGGGTCTACCCTTTTTCAGCAGTTTGGATTACTGTTTCAGTTGTTAAGAGCACCAGGTAAGTTCCTTCCCAGATGGGCTCGAGCTTTCCCTCTTTGCAACTTCTGATAAGGATGTGATCTCCGGGTTGGTGTCGGTGAACTGGGAGTTTGAGGGGTGGAGTTTGTGCTAGGAGGCTTTGAGTCTTGAGGGAGTGAGTAAAGGGTGGAAGACAGACTAAATACATAGTTTCTAAGAAACTGATCCTTTGTCTCAAATGTTGGGAGGTCAGTAGTGGAATTTAAATAAGGCAACCTATAAAGCATTTTATACGGGGATAAGCCGATATCTTTCTAGTGAGCAGTTCAGACTCTTAATAGGGTAACGGGAAAACACTTAGTCCATGGTAATCGAGTTTCTAGAATTAATTTTTTTTAATTAAGTTTAGAAAAGTTTCTTTAGTTATAAAAGTAATCAAATCCCTTTTCACAATGGAAAGTTCTACATGATCTTAAGAACTAAAATATCATGATTTGAAAAGCAATATGGAAAGTTATTTGCAGTACAAACTCTATCACATTCACTTAAAAAGCAGCCAAAGTTGCTTTTTTCTAGGTATACAGGCAACATTCCACACCATTCAATACTACCTCCCTTTTGTGAAACACTTTCTTCTGGTGGCTTTCAGAATACTAGTCTCCTGATTTTTCTTCTAGGTCACTGGTGGGTCCTTCTCAGTCTTTTGCTGGTTCCTCCTCTTTTTGTCTACTTCTTAACGATGGCATACCTTAGGTCTCTTGTCTTTTGCTACCTTCTCTTCTCTAGCTGTACTAGGTGATCTTATCCAAAGTCATGGTTATTCCCTAATGACTCCTAAATTTATTTTTCCAGTTCCAAATTATACCCTGAAATCCAGACTTGGATATCTAATTGCCTACACAGCATTTTCAACTTAACACAGCCAAAACAAAACTTGATTCTACATTCCTCCAAACTTGTTCCTTCTCTGGTATGCCTCATCTCTGAATTTCAGAATTCACCCAGTTGACAGGTCAAAAACCTGAGTCATCCTTTACTCTTCTCCTTCTTTCTCCTTATATCCAAGCTATTAGCAGACATTATCTTCTCTACTTACAAAATAGAGTCTGAATCTAACTTCTAACTTCTCCTACCCTAACATCTATCACACTAGTCCAAAACTGTTACCTAGAACACTATAATAACCTAACTGGTCTTTGCTTTCCTCTTTAATCTTTTTCAGTCTAACTTTCACACTGTAGCTCTATATTTCATAAAGGTAAATCGAATTATGTCATCCTCTTCTTAATCTAATTGCTTCCCATTTACATATCTACGCCAGGCTATAAGGACCTGGCTTTCTTCCTTATGTCACTTCTTACTATTCTTCTCTCTTAATCACTATGCTATAACCTCACTGACCTCTTTGTTATTCCTTAAACATGCCAAGTAAGTTACATTTTAGGGCCTTTTCACTTGCTTTTACCTTTGTCCAGAATGCTTTTTCCCTAAATATTTATATGGCTCATATGCTTACCTCACTGGGGCCTCTGCATATGTTATCTCTTCAAACAGGCTTCTCCAAGCCATCTTATCTAAAGTATTAACCCTCCCCACATTCTGTCCCAGTGGGATTCATCCTGGGATGTAAAGATGATTCAACATATACAAATCAGTAAATGTGATATATCATGTTAACAGAATGAAGAGCAAAAGCCATATGATAATCTCAAAAGATACAGAAAAAAGCATTTGACAAAATTCAATGCATTCTATCCCTATTCCCTGCCTTTTATTTATAGCAGTTGATATATTTGCTTATATTGTTATTATTTGTCTTCTCCATTGGAATGTAAACTCCATAAAAACAGGTACTTTGGGCTGGGTGCAGTGGCTCACACCTGTAATCCCAACGCTTTGGGAGGCTGAGGCAGGTGGATCACTTAAGGTCAAGAGTTTGAGACCAGCTTGGCCAACATGACAAAACCTTGTCTCTACTAAAAATACAAAAATTAGCTGGGCGTGGTGGCAGGTGCCTGTAATCCTTGTGAAAATAAATAGTTTAAATACTAGCTCCATTTCTTTTCCCAAATAGAGCTCAGGTTTACTGTCTTTTCATTATCTTTCCAATATTTTAACATGAGACTTAGAGGGTTATCAGAGGGAATCATATTATCTGCTTTGCTCTTTGTAGTTTTTGTTTTACTAGGGTTATTTCCCATCCTGGAAGTTTTAGATGTGTCCCTGAGTTTCCTGACTGTATGGGGTTCAACCTCTCTTACTAGAGATTTCTTGCACCCTTTCCCTGGAGACTTAACCCCCCTCCCCACTGGAGGTTTCTTGCACTCCTTTACTTTACTCCACACTCGCTTTGCACTTAATTGTGCATCTCATTCACATACTTTCAACCTCCAGGATGTCCCAACCACCAAAGAAGTACTTCACTGCCCCTGCGGCTTTTCTTACCTTGGTCTGTGCACAGAATTACTTGGTCACCATGGCATCTGTAGGCCTTTTCCTTCCATGTTGCTGAGAGTCTCGGTATATTCATCATGCTGGTGGGTCTCAATCCCTCATTCTTGAGGCTGCTGCAGTGAGACACGTCTCCTCACAAGAGATGATTGGAGACCCTTCTCCGGAGGAGAATGGGATCCCAGATGTGCCCCCATTTTGTTAGAAACAAGTGCTCAGTGCCTCAAAGAAAAGCCAGCACTTAGACAGAACATTTCTCAGCAAGGCACATTTACTTCTGCAGAAGGGTGCTGCCTGCATCCGTCTGATTGCAAGAGCATACCAAACAAAGGAGAGAAAAGTTTTTATCCCTAACGCAGCTCCTGTTACTGTGTCCTCTCCCCATTGGCTTGAGTTGGACTGAACAATCTAACCCAATTATTGGCTAAGACTTAAACTTTTCTACATATGGTAAATATGCCGTTTGCAAGAGGAGGGGAGGAAGAGACTGTTGCTAAGGTGGGAAAGGTAGTTTACAGAACAAGTCTGGGCATGTCTGGGCATATAGAGGTTTGCTAATTACAAATTAAGCAAGGGGTGGGGCCTGTGTACAGAGCAAGAAAGACCAAGGGAGCTTTGAAGAGAAACTTATTATTTCTGACATAGTTGTGTTCACCAACCCAGAAGTGCTCCTACCCTTGTCATTTAGGAACTTTATGAAGGTTTTGTTACATAGGTCAATCCCCACCCCCCACTCTGCTCCCAGTGTCACTGGTAGAGGGTGTTGACTGCAAGTTGTCCAGGTTCTTGGTGTTTTGAACAAAGAATTGGACAAAATGCCCAGCAAAGCAAAGAAAGCATGAAGCAACAAAAGAACAAAAGCAGGAATTTATTGAAAATGAAAGTACACTCGGCAGTGTGGAAGTGGACCCAAGCAGCGGCTCAAGGGCCTGGATATAGAATCTTCTTGGGTACAAATACCCTGCGGAGGTTTCCCATTGGCCACTTTATGCTCACGTCATGTGAATGAAGTGGTATCCCACAATCAGTCTGATGGGTTGCCTAAAACCACCAATCAGAAGCTTAAATGGAGTTACAAAGGTCACACTCCTGTGGAAACATCTGATTGCTTTTTGCAACCAATCGTAGGCTAAGGTGAAGTTACAAAGTTGCAAATGAAGACTCCACCCACAATCAGTTTGATTGGTTGCAGACAGCCAATTTCCCATCTGCCAGCAGAAAACGTGGGAGTTTTGCAAAGGGAGTAGCCTCTGGTCCTTTTGTTCTTTAGGCCTGGAAAGTTAGGGTTTTCCTTTGAATTTAGTTCTAGGAAGTGAGTGTGAAACTGTCTTAGGTTCCCTGCCTCCAGACCCTATTCTCCTGCCTCACCAGGAGGTGGGCATGAGAGTTGGGGGGTATCTGGAAGTTTCAGTCCTCAATCATGTGGTTGATTTTTCTGGTGACCAGCCTCTAGACTGAAGCTATGTAGTCCTGCCCACTGAGAGTCATCTCATTAGCATACAGAAGACAGTAAATTCCAAGGGCTTTAGGGACTCTGTCCCAGGAACCAGGGACAAAGACCAAATACTTATTTTTCATTATACCACAGATACCTGTTAGGGTTTTGTTATTGTTGTTTCTACAAAACATTCATCTATTCTTGTGTTCAGGAGAAGTAATATCTTCAGTCATGATTAGATTTCAGATATGAAAGAATTTTTGCTAGTCTTAGCCCCCAGTTGTAAAATAATGTCATGAAAACATTTTTATTTCCTAATGATTATAACAAAGGGAAAAGATCTTAAAGAGTTGACTTTGGTAGTACAAGTTTGCGCAAATGATTGATGATTTTTTATTTCCTTGATTTGTGCATTAGCAGCTTTTAGTGTGTCATATCAAGAGGAATACTGGGGAAATAATATAATGATTGTTTATATGGAGTTCTCTACTTTCTTGTTTTGGCAGTGTTTGAAAGTTAGGACTGATCCTGAGGGAGTTGAATTTTGTAAAGTTAATTACTTTCCTGCTGCCAGTAGTGATTTATATCTGTGATATTATATCAGCTAGTCATATGAGAATGAGAAACAAAATTACTTTTTCTGCAATTACCAACTCACTAGTAGGGTATTCAGGTGTCCCTGGGTAGCACACAATATAATAGAGTAATGGGTAAAACTTTTTTCCAATTTGAACAAAAAGGCCTTGTCAACTTTTTTTAAGGTCTCTTGATACATATATAAAAGAAATCATAAAGAGCACTTGGTATATAGGGAACATAATTTTTTAAATTACTTTTTTAAAGAGAGGTCAAATTTATCTGTAGCGACCCAGACTAGAGTTCATCCTCCTATTTTCTTGTAGGCCAAGAAGGAAAGAAAGTTATCAGATTTAACCTATCAAAAATTTTGACTATTTATTGGATATCATCCAAGTGATCTTAAAATTAAAATATATATATATATGTCTATGTATGTATATACGTACAGACAATCCTTTGTATCTGTGGGTTTCACATCCGTGGATTCAACCAACCTCAGATTGAAAATATCTGGGGAGGAAAATGAATGGTTGCATCTGTACTTAGTATGTACAGACTTTTTTCTTATTATTATCCAAACAATACAGTATAACAACTATTTATATAGCACTTATATTGTATTTGGTATTATAAATAATCTAGAGGTGATTTAAAGAATACAGGAGGAGGCCAGGCACGGTGGCTATGCCTGTAATCCCTGCACTTTGGGAGGCCGAGGTGGGTAGATCACGAGATCAGGAGATCAAAACCATCCTGGCTAACACAGTGAAACCCCATCTCTACTAAAAATTCAAAAATTTAGCCAGACATGGTGGCACTCGCCTGTAGTCCCAGCTACCCAGGAGGCTGAGGCAGGAGAATCGCTTGAAGGAAGCGGAGGTTGCAGTGAGCTGAGATTGTACCGCTGCACTCCAGTCTGGGCAACAGAGCGAGACTCCATCTCAAAAGAAAAAAAAAAAAGAATACAGGAGGATGTGCAGAGGTTATATGCAAATACTACACCATTTTATATCAAGGACTTGAGCATCCATGGATTTTGATATCCTCAGGGGTCCTGGAACCAATCCCTCTCAGATACCTAGGGACAACTATATTATGTGCCTGTGCTGTATGTGTAACATCTTCTCAAAAGTTACATTGTCAAGCTCATTCCTCCTGATCATAATTTCTCAGTTCTTATGATGGGATATGGTTTTTATAGTGATAAGATGTGAAATGTATTAAACTGTGAAAATGTAATCAGTGATTTCTGGGGGGGTTGTATGTGTGTTTACCATTCTATCACTGGATCAAAATATATGCCTTTGAACTAAGGTGAGACATCCATAGCCTGGTCCTCTGTTGCCAATGGCAAGATAGAGTTAGTAAAATATTCTAAGATTCACAGTGGGGTGGTTCTTTAATTTATTTTGATTTTCATGACTGTGTATACGAAGGATAGAGATGCTTTTTAGGAATGCCTAGGTTTCTGACTTTTAGTTGATGTGTTAAATTATACATTCGAGCAATCTGGTATTGGGTAACTGTCAAATTTTGATACTTACAGAAGTAGGCAGATGAGTAGTTATTTGGTTTTGTGGTAGCCCAAGTTACTGAGTGAGCTGCTAGGATAATTCTTTGGCTACTAAGTTCCAGGCCATACTTGAGAGTCCAGGCCCACATTTAGATTTTTTATTTTGAAGGATTAAGCCATGCAGTAGTGGTAGCTATGGGTTACAGCGAGAAACCCCTACCTCAATATCTTTTATGGCTATGTTTCCAGTGACTTCAATGAGCCTTCTAGCCTTACTAGTACTTATCTAATTATTTTATCTTTTAAAAAAATATTTTAGCCAACATTTAATTCAAAAGAAAGGTTGAAATGTAGCCTACTCATGGAAAATATTGTCTATAATTCTATTTCTTTAGCATACTGAGTCTCCTGCATCTTGATGCTATATTTAGATATAATCAATGTTCTACAATGGGAAAACTTAGTAGAACATTGGGCATGTGTGTGTGTGTGTGTGTGTGTGTGTGTATGTGTGTGTGTGTGTGCATGTGTGTCTCAATGTATATTTAAATAAAATTTGCCATTCCAGCCATTTTTTAAGTATTCAGTTCAGTGGCATTAATTATATTAACAGTGTTGTGCAGCCATCACCACTATTTCCCCATTCCTCCTCCCTCAGCTTCCAGCCCCTGGTAACCTCTATTTTACTTTCTATCTCTCTGAATTTGCCCATTGTAGATATTTTATGTAAGTGGAATCATACAGTACCTGTCTGTTTGTGTCTGGCTTATTTCACTTAGCATGATGTTTTCAGGGTTCATCCATGTTTTCGCATGCTTCATTCCTTTTTACGGCTAAAGAAAATTGTGTGTGTGTGTGTGTGTGTGTGTGTGTGTGTGTGTGTGTGTGTATGTACATACTGCATTTTGTTTATGCATCTGTTGATAGACATTTAGGTTGTTTCCTCTTCTTGGCTATTGTGAATAATGCTGCAACACACTGGGCATTTTGATCTGTGGTATTTGGCGGTCTTTGGCATATTTTTAAATAAAGAAGCATTGTTTATATGTTTCTTTGCTATAAAATATGAAATATTTTCATTGTCTTAATAAAAGACAGAAGCAAAGCCTCTACTTATATGTAATGAAAAGATAAAATTAAATGTAGTGAGACTATGTCATCAAACTTTATCGTGCCTCCTAACCGCTTTATCAGTATGAGAGTATTTCCCCAGAGAAGGCTGGACATATCATCATCAGCCCCCAAACCATCCTGTTTATAAAGCATGGCAGGCAATTATGCTTCCCCCAACCCCAGAAAACTAAAAGAAAAACTTTTGGTTACTCTGTAATCTTTGAAAAGAAAAAATTAATAAGGTATTGCTTTATAAGATTTAATCTTAGATGTTCTGAAGAATACTTTTTCTTCTTTTTTTAAGAATTAAGTTTTAACTCAGGTAATTTTTACTACACCTTTTTTTTTCTTCAAAAGTCACATAAGTCACTTTTTTTTTTTTTTTTTTTGAGATAGAGTCTCTGCTCTGTCGCCCAGGCTGGAGTGCAGTGGCACTATCTCGGCTCACTGCAACCTCCACCTCCTGGGTTCAAGTGATTCTTCTGCCTCAGCCTCCCTAGTAGCTGGAACTACAGGCGCCCGCCACCACCCCTGGCTAATTTTTTTGTATTTTTAGTAGAGATGGGGTTTCACCATGTTAACTAGGCTGGTCTCGAACTCCTGACTTCAGGTGATCCACCCGCCTCGGCCTCCAAAAGTGCTGGGATTACAGGCATGAGGCACCACGCCTGGCCAAGTCACTTCTTATAGATGGTTTCACAGAATATTTCCTTCACTTTTTGGAGACTGTTTAGCTTTCCAAGTATTTTCAATCATAACTCATATTTGGTGGTTCATATGCTGAAATATTACAATTACACAAAGATGATTATTTTACCTTGTTACTGTACACATAGATTGCTTCTTCTTATTTTTATTTTTTCGCTGGTTATTGTCTCTTGATTAATACATAAAGATCTATGCAACTTGGCCTGGTGCAGTGGCTCACGCCTGTAATCCCAGCACTTTGGGAGGCCGAGGTGGGCTGATCACTTGAGGTCAGGAGTTCAAGACTAGCCTAGCCAACATGGCAAAAACCCATTTCTACTAAAAATATAAAAATTAGCCGGATGTGGTGGCGTGCACCTGTTGTCCCAGCAACTTAGAAGGCTGAGGCAGAAGAATCTCTTGAATTCAGGAGGCAGTTACAGTGAGCCAAGATCACACCACTGCACTCCAGCCTGGGCGACAGAGTTAGACTCTGTCTCAAAAGAAAATGAAAAAGAAAAATCTGTGCAACTTGTGTAGTAATTTCATTTATACAGTCTTCAGTCATGGGTTGTCTACAAACTTCATCAATAAACAAATGAGCTTGCCCTTCAGGGTTGCCCTTCTGGGGCCAAATGTGGGCTCTGAGACAGCCACATTCTGGTAACCCGCCGGATGATTTGGGTGTTTTAGCTGGCGGAGGCAGTGACCTCAGACTCTGGACGGTGAACGGGGATCTCGTTGGACATGTCCACTGCAGGGAGATCATCTGTTCCGTGGCTTTCTCCAACCAGCCTGAGGGAGTATCTATCAATGTAATCGCTGGGGGATTAGAAAATGGAATTGTAAGGTAAGAGGAATTTGGATTCTCTTTTTTTGATTTCATTCATAAGGACACAGGAGTTTCAGAAATTAATTTTTAATATCTAGGCATATTAATATTCAGTATTTAGAGATTTAAACTCACCTTGGGGTGTAGGTTCTTTAGTTATTCCTGTTTTATTTCTAAATAATAAAGATAGCTTTAGCACAGTTTTGAAGTTTTATGTTAACTATAAAAGATTAACAGTATGGAAGTATACAAAGTTAAAAGTTCTCTTATTCCCACATCTACCCCCTGCAAACTCCCTAGAGGGAACTACTGTTAATTGTTTGTTACATTTCCTTCCACATGATTTTTAACAAATAAACAAATATAGAGGGCTTTTTAGGGAGAGTAATTTTAGTTTGCATAATTAGATGATTTTTTTCCCCTCTAGGTTATGGAGCACATGGGACTTAAAGCCTGTGAGAGAAATTACATTTCCCAAATCAAATAAGCCCATCATCAGGTAAGATCTTCTCCCCCTCTTATGCTTCAGAATACAATTTGTGATTGTATTTTTCGTAGAGAGGTATTTAAGCACACAGACTTAAAGAAATGTGCAATTGAAGTCATCATGAAAAGCCAACCACTTAACACACAGCGGGTTGTCCGTGACCCAGCAGCAAGAGAGACCACACTCCTTGTCTTCATGGAGCTTAAAATCCGAGTCAGTGACTCAGAGTCTAGTGGAAAGGCATGCTTGTAGTGTGTCTCTGGAATCATAGAGACTGTATTTTTTCCTTTCATATTTGACAAGACCATAATGGTGATTGATAGCTGCAGGGGTGCTTGACAAAATAGATAAATAATCAGTTACTCTTTGCTTAGTTAACAAATTTGACTTTAAATAATTAGAAATAAAGTGATTCAAATTTTACTTTATTAAATTAAATGTATTTTCAGTGTACTAAATTTAAAGTTTAAGGAACCTAAATTAATTACTAATGTTACATTTTTTTCCTTTTCTCTTTTAGGGAAATAATATATAGCCATAAAATACTTATTTATCTTTATAAGGAGAAAATATAGTACTGTTATATTTTTAAAAGTTTTGTACACCCAAATATTTGTTGTTTATGTAATAAAGCATAAACAAGGAGGCAAAAGAAGATATGCAAAGAATAGAATGTACTGAGCTTTGTGATCCTGATTTTATTCTATATCACCGCATTTATGAGCATCTCAACTTGTCAGCAGAGTGACTATGTTAGAATTACAGTCAAAACCAATGAGTTGTAGGCAGTCATTTAGTTTATGTCTCTCTGCGCCACTGAAGATAACTTCTTTACACTAACCTCAGTATGATGACCAATATGCTAATACACTTTTAAGAAATATAATGTACAAATGGGAATTTTTTTTTTTTTACAGCCTTACATTTTCTTGTGATGGCCACCATTTGTACACAGCAAACAGTGATGGGACCGTGATTGCCTGGTGTCGGAAGGACCAGCAGCGCTTGAAACAGCCAATGTTCTATTCCTTCCTTAGCAGCTATGCAGCCGGGTGAATGCGAATGAACTTCACGTTCTCCAAAGCACTTTAACTCCAAACTAGATTTGTTGACTTCACCAGTTTTAGGAGGTTGAACCTAAAGAAATGGATGACTGGACAAACCATCCAAATAATGATAAAGTCTATTCATCTGCACAAAATTCTGAAGAGTCACATGATCCTAAGAGGAAAGTTCTGTTCTATTTTAGTGATAATCTGGAAGATTGTGTCAATATGCACTAGCCAACAAGTTTTAAGCCTCGCATGGTACATTAAAATGATATTCTTAAAATTTTTTCCCACCAAGGTATTCCAAAGAAAATATTAAGGTCTCCCCTTTTTCTATGATTCCAAAAGGACCAGTAGAATTTAAATTGGTTGGTTGATTGTTTATATAAAACACACTAAAATTATATTTTAAAAGTTTACTGCCATGAAATACTCCTCCCACCACACACACATGCTCCAAAAGAGGAAAGAAAAAAAGATAATTTTTAGGACTTGATAATTGCTTTCTTTGAGAAGCAAATTATTCAGTAGGTGCCTCTGTACCAAATATTTTATGGAATATCTAAATACTAAAATAAACTATGAATGAATCTCAAAATTAGGCAGTTTTTGCCAGTTGCTTTCTTAGCTCAAAGGAGAACCAGAATTTTTTTGACAGCCACAAACAAGAATACAGGTATCTTGGATTTCAGACACATTCTGTTTCTTCATAAAAATTTTACTTAAAATCTGTAACGCTAGATATTGACTATCCTTAGTTGAGTCACTGAGGTTTAAACACAATGGTAAGTCTTAAAGTCTGCTATTTACAGAGCATTGAATCTGTACCAATTTGCAATAGAAAGCCTTCAGTATGCAAGAAGTTTGCATGGGTATTAAGAACACAGCCTAAATAAGGCATTTGATCTAATCTGCAGGAAGAATTTTCTTCCCCAAAACAGAATTATAAAAGCTTACTTTAAACAGGAGGCAGAATAATTCTTTTAGGAAACCATTTCATTCTGTTTCTACTAACCTATACCATCTGAGAATTCTAGGAAGAATAATAAAATCTCGTGTATTCCACAGCAAACTTACATACCATAAAGACAGAATTCCTAAACATCTTGGAGCCGTCTGTCTCTCCCATATGATGGCTGTCTGTATATTTTTACTTGGGGTGCTGCTTTATTGGCTTTGAAAACACTGTCAGATAAGCTCAGTAATATGTTACCATGGGATAAAAATATGTATCCCTGCCTAAGAATAACTTGTGCATTTGTTATGGAAATTTAATTCATATGGTGTTTACAGTACTACTTTTGTAACTTCCAGACTTTCTAAAACATTCTGCTTAAAAACCATATAAAATATAATTCCAAAGTCTCTGCTGTCAAGATAGATTCGAGAGAAAGCACGTGGCCATGTATGCTTTAACCTTAAACTGCATACACATGTAGTGATACCTAGGCTGCATTTAGATCACCGTGTGCTCAGGCCAGGTGTGAATCCTGAGGTCCATGGAGGTGCAGAGATGAGATTACTCCTATTCACGTTGAAGTGATTTGCTTTGTTAACAAAAAATTGCAGCTATTGTCTAGCTTTCATTTTTTTACTGAGAACTTTAAATTAGTCCCCTATTAGAATAGGGTTGCTACTCATCTTTTTTTAAAAACCGAATTTCATCATTTATCTAAAGAGAAAATATGCAGAATAACTGGTCTTGTTAAGAGTGCAATATTATATTTTTATGTAAAAATAAAAATTAATTTGGGGGGATTATTTATTCAGCATGAAACCTAATATGTATATGTTTGAAATACTTCATAATGTGCATGTTGTAGCAAACATTTCTGTAAATTATCACAAGCTCTGTTACCTTTATATACACTGCCTCTTCAATTTGGAAATAAATTTCATAAAAATAGATGTAAACACCTCTTCTTTAAGCTATTTAAATATTATGAGCAGATCTCAAATCGATGGCTTTCTGTGTAACCCACATAGGTTCTGTCTTTAGCTCCACTATGCATTTATATCACTAGAAAAAGATAACTTTCTTTTTTTTTTTTTTTTTTGAGATGTAGTTTAGCTCTGTCGCCCAGGCTGGAGTGCAGTGGCACGATCTCAGCTCACTGCAACCTCCGCCTCCCAGGTTCAAGCGATTCTCCAGCCTCAGCCTTCCAAGTAGCTGGGACTACAGGAGTGTGCCACGACGCCCGGCTAACTTTTTTTTTTTTTTTTTTTTTTTTTGTATTTTTAGTAGAGACGGGGCTTCACCGTGTTAGCCAGGATGGTCTCAATCTCCTGACCTCGTGATCCACCTGCCTTGGCCTCCCAAAGTGCTGGGATTACAGGTGTGAGCCACCACGCCCGGCCTAACTTTCATTTCTTATTGTGGTTTTTGTACTAAAATTTTATGTTTCAACCTTTACTACCCTTAGATGGTGTGGACACTAGTCCCAAGATCAAACCGCTCATTTTAAAGAAAAAACCATCTGCCCACCCCCGACCCCACAGCAGATCTATATTGAGCCCTTGCCAGGTGCCAGGCACTGTACCAAGTGCTGAGGATATCGTGCTGCACAAAGCACGGTGGTCCCCTGCACTCCTGGAGGTTACAGGCTGGTGGAGAAACCACCATAAATAACACACAATATGTACAGTTACAAACCATGGTAAGTGTTAGGTAAAATATAGGGTACTCTGAAAGAATGTAAGAGGAAGGACTTTATTTAGATTGAGGTGATCTAGAAAGCCTCTTGAAAAATTGAAATTTTTGGTGAGGCGTGGTGGCTCATGCCTGTAATCCCAGCACTTTGGGAGGGTGAGGTAGGCAGATCACTTGAGATCAGGAGTTAGAGACCAGCCTGGCCAACATGATGAAACCCCATCTCTACTAAAAATACAAAAATTAGCAAGGCATGGTGGTAGGCGCCTGTAGTCCCAGCTACTTGGGAGGCTAAGGCAGGATAATTGCTTGAACCTGGGAGGCAGAGGTTGCAGTGACTGAGATTTTGACACTGCACTCCAGCCTGGGCAACAGAACGAGACTCCGTCTCAAAAAAGAAAAATTGAAATTTCTGTTGAAACCCAATGAATGATCGGAAATTTGGTGAAGATGGGGGCAGATGTGTTCCAGATAATACATGTTCAATAACTGGGGCAGGAACATCAGCAAAGGCCCAGGGAAGGAAAGAACATCCTGTCCCTGTCTCAGCTTCTTGGTGGGTGAGGGTGGGAGTGAAAACGGTGGGTGACGTCAACAACAGCAGTCCAAGGGCCCGAGGGCTGCCCTTCTTTCTGCTTTGCATCTGTGGTATTTTAAGATTCTCAAGACTACAGCATTCCTGTTCCTAGGTGTCTGTCCCAAAGAGAACTGAGCAGTAGCATTTTGTCGGTGTGAGCCTGCCAACCCAGATGTCCCCTCTTTACCTGAAAGTCTCAGTTGGACTCACCCTTTCCACAATGTTCACTGAACGCCAGTTCTGTGCAAGCCCGAGGCTAGAGGCTGGGTGGGGAAGGGAGGGGAGCGGGATTCTTTCCAGCTCGAAAGAGCTCATGCAGCGGGCGCAGTGGCTCATGCCTGTAGTCCCAGCACTTTGGGAGGCTGAGGTGGGCGGATCATGAGCTCAGGGGCTCCAGGCTAGCCTGGCCAACATTGTGAAACCCCATCTCTACTAAAAAATACAAAAATTAGGCAGGCGTGGTGGCACGGGCCTGTCATCCCAGCTACTGGGGAGGCTGAGGCATGAGAATCGCTTGAACCCAGGAGGCAGAGGTTGCAGTGAGCACTGCACTCCAGCCTGGGCGACAGAGCAAGACTCAGTCTCAAAAAAAAAAAACAATTAAAAAAAAAAAGAGCTCATGCCTGGTGACCTGCTTCTCACTATTTTGGATGACGTGTTTATGTTCTGAGGGGAAAAGCAAAAAAAAAAAGCTACAAGGCCGATTTTTTTTTTTTTTTTTTTGAGATAGAGTTTTACTTTTGTTTTCCAGGCTGGAGTGCAAGGGTGCAATCTCGGCTCACTGCAACCTCCGCCTCCCAGGTTCAAGTGAGTCTCTTGCCTCAGCCTCCCCAGTAGCTGGGAATACGGGCGCCTGCAGCCTCGCCCAGCTAATGTTGTATTTTTAGTAGAGACGAGGTTTCACCATGTGGGCCAGGCTGGTCTCAAACTCCTGACCTCAGGTGATCCACCTGCCTCGGCCTCCCAAAGTGCTGGGATTACAGGCGTGAGCCACTGCACCTGGCAAGGCCAACGTATATAAAAATGAGAGGAAACAAACTCAACGAGTGAACATTTTTTATCAGTAATTGCAGAACAATGGGAGTTCTTGGATTATGCATGTTGCAGGCCCTCTTTGCTGATTATCCTTCAGGTGTCCCCAGTTTGTCCCAAACTGTCTCACATCTTGGTCAGCTATATTATTTTTTCATTGTACTCCTTCTCAGGATAACACTCCATGTACTATGAAGCCAAAGCACTTTAAAACCTAATGAGCTTAAAACCTTGAAGCAGAAAGACCAACTGAAAAGCATTAGCAGTTGGAGGGTAGATGGGAAGGAAACAAAACAACTGCTACTGGAGAGAACAATTCACCACTGAGGTCAAAGGTAGCAAAAGAGCTTGTAGGTTGAGCACAAACTGGTATTGTGGAGTATTGCAAAAGCTTCATGTTGCATGCAGGATTTCCCCCAGTCGTTTTCAACTGCACAATTAAGGCAGCTACATTTGCCGATACCAAACATATACACGTATATGCACATTGAGTTGAGAAAGAGGTGCCACCTATATCATGTGTCATGTGACAACAGAAAACTATATCTTGCCACTTTGGGGACACTGGGTTGCAACTCAGCTGTTTGAGAGAAATTAAATAATACAGTGTGTCCTTTGAGGCCAAAATGACTAGAAGATCATTTGAGACTAGGCTACAATATTCCTGCTCAAGAGCTGAGTTCGTTTCTTCCTTCATGAAGGAAGTTAATGAGAGATGAGTTTGAAAAAGGTTGTCTCGTGGCAAAGTTTGGCTCATTGCCAAAGTAAAGTAAACAGGTCTTACCAAAACTTCTGAAGACTGATGATAATGAACTGGTGTTTCATTCTCAGATTTTAATTTTGTTAAAATAGCTGTAAAAGTCCTTGGAATCCAGTTCCAAGGGTAAATAAAAAAGACTGTCTTTTCTGAGACTTTTAGTAAAAATTAAGCTATAATTTTCATAGTGGTTGATATAATCTAAATACAAATGAGTAATTAGGTAACTTCATTATGTAGTTTCTATACACAATTTTCTGCACAGTAGTAGTTTATTACAACCAAGTAAAAGCCACTTACCTGTGCTCCTACGTGGATATGAATTAGACATGCTATTTTATTTTCTACAACGGTCTGGAGAACAGGGTTAGGAGGTAAAAGGTCTCACAGCCTGAGGTGGAGACTAGAAGAACAGCTGTTTCCACCACCCTTTCCACCATGTGCATTTTTAGACCCAAGCATTGTTTGTTCTCTGTTCCCTGCTGCAGGCATTTCAAAGCCAGCTTCAGCCCCGCCTCACGGATACATGTGCTCAGTGGTGCTGCTCACTGCTTTATGTTTAACTGGTAGTCTCTGCCACTGTGTTCTCCTGAACTTTAAATTTCCTCAGTTATTACAACCAATTATTCGGTATATACTTTGTGTTGGACAATCTTTCTCTTGTGAACATCTATGAGTTTCGAAAACAAAAATCATCAGAGCTGAATCTGAGAAATAGAACTGTTTTCGTCACAAACAAGTTACAGTTACGAGGTACTGAAAAAAAATGTGTGATTCTGCAAGTAATTCCAAAAGAGGAATTTTTTTAAGATTTTGAGCAATGCATAGTATCACTGGAGTAGGGTAGATTAGGTACTTGGGAGAAACGAAGGAAGAAAGCAAGCAAGCGTCACAGGACGGACGGACAGGTACCATGTCTTACTGTTTCTTTTCTTGATTTTTTGTTTGTTTGTTTGTTTGTTTGTTTCAGACAGAGTCTTGCTCTGTTGCCCAGCCTGGAGTGCAGTGGCGTGATCTTGGCTCACTGCAACCTCCACCTCCCGGGTTCAAGAGATTCTCCTGCCTCAGCCTCCCAAGTAGCTGGGATTACAGGTGCGTGCCACCATGCCTGGATAATTTTTGTATTTTTAGTAGAGATAGGGTTTCACCATATGGGTCAGGCTGGTCTCGAACTTCTGACCTCAGGTGATCTGCCCGCCTTGGCCTCCCAAAGTGCTGGGATAGAGGCATGAGCCACCGTGCCCGTCCTTCTTGATCATTTTTAAAAAAACTTCCCAACCCCAAATAAACTACCAAGTCCTGCTTGCTTTTCTTTGTGTTTGGATAACGTCTTTCACAAAAATGAAGCCCACACTAGATTATCTTCACTTACACACTTTCCTTGGAGTGAACTTATTTGACTCCCCTAAAGGGTCTCTTAACTCTTTTCTTGTCCTCCGTTTTAGTAGATTACAGTTCTTCCTTATTTATCTCGGGATAGTTCTTATACAAATATTAAAACAAGCATAAAAGTGACAAGAGTTGTGTACACATGTCCTGTCAGAAACGACAAAAGCTCCTTTTAGATCCACTGAAAAAGGCTTATTTAGAGCCCTATTTAAGACCAACAGTTTCATTATCATTCAGGGACAAATTGTGCCAGAAGCAACCTGTCTCTCTTTCAATCTGGTAATCCTTATATTTTCTCTATGCAGTAAATCGCTCCATATTAGACAATATTTTGCAGTTTTTATTATCCTGTTATCAGTTGATGCTTGGGAACTTTTTATCGAGGAATAACATTCAAAAGCTAACGCTGTTCTTTTAGTAATTTCCTTCCTAAGTGAGGCCACTCATACACCAAACTACCTTTGCCAAATCTTTAAAAAAAATTTAAATTTAAGCAAATCAATGAGTACATGGTTTTTCTTGATGTCCCATTAAACATAGAGCATGGTTGCTCATTCTTTTAACATTTTTGGGCTTCTACAACATACCAGATACAAAGATTTATGACAGAGAATCTGCTCTCAAAAGAACTCGATGAGAAAGGAAATGTAAAAAGAGAACTGTGACACAACCAAGTAACTTTTATAATAGAAGCATCTACATATCAAGGTGACTCAAATGGGAAGTGGGGAGCAGTCAGATTAGGTTTCCCAAAGATATTAAAGAGATAGGAAAATCTTGGCCAGGCATGGTGGCTCATGCCTGTAATCCCAGCACTTTGGGAGGCCGAGGCAGGTGGATCACCTGAGGTCGGGAGTTCGACACCAGCCTGACCAATGTGGAGAAACCCCATCTCTACTAAAAATACAAAATTTAGCTGGGCGTGGTGGCACATGCCTGTAATCCCAGCTACTCGGGAGGCTGAGGCAGGAGAATCGCTTGAACCCGGGAAGCAGACGTTGTGGTGAGCCAAGATCACACCATTGCACTCCAGCCTGGGCAACAAGAGTGAAACTCTGTCTCAAAAAAAAAGAAAAACATATATATATATATATATATATATATATATATATATAAATATAAATCTTGAAGACAAAAATTTACCAGATTTGGGCCAAGGTAGAAGGAAACCAAGACTCAAAGGTATAAGAAGACAGGGAGTGGAAGTGCTCAGTGTGTCAGAGACAGAGGTGGAAGAGGGGATGGGGGGAAATGAGGGTTAAACTATAATGGGAACTTCTGCCTCTGTCCACTTGGGGAAAACTGAGATCAGACTTACCCCGCTATCAAAAACAACTGGGAAACGAGATGATCTATGAGGCAATGATTTTCAGTGTGGAAAGCAGACAGCACAAGATATGATGCCTGAAGGAAGGGAAATGAACTGAGTAAATCTTATTGTTGTCTTGGTTTTCTGTACTTAAAAGGTAGCTACAGTGCAGAAGGAGATCCAAAGAAGAGTACAGAAATCACGCTGAGATGAGGAAATGGAGACCAGAGTTTGGGGGAGGCTGAGAAACCAGAATTTGTGGCACAGAGTACCATACAGTAGGTTGCTGCCCAGCAATGAAGAGATCCAGATTGAAAACAGAAATCATCACAGCTGAATCTGAAAACTAGAACTATTTTAGTCAAAAACAAGTTATAGTTACAAGGTACTGAAAAAAAATCGTGATTCTGCAAGTAATTCCAAAAGAGGAATTTTTTAAATGTTTTGAGCAACGTACAGTGTCATTGGAATAGGGTAGATTAGGTACATACTTGGAAGAAACGAAGGAAGAAAGGAAGCAAGCATCACAGGCCGGATGGACAGATACTATGTCTCATTGTTTCTTTTCTTAATAGTTTTTAGGAAAACTTTCCAAACCCAAATAAACCACCAAGTCCTGGTTGCTTTTCTTTGTCTTTGGATAATGTCTTTCACAAAAACGAAGCCCACCCTTGATTATCTTCACTTACAGGGTAATGCCTGTGGGTCCAATGGAGGCTCTGGCTGAATACTAAGCTGTATGTGCATAACACAAAGCTCCATGGGTCTGAGCAAAGAATGTACAGGCAGCTGTAAGCTGAACAATTCTCGGAGCTCACAGGGGATTCGGATACATCTGAGTTCCAACCCACCAAAGGGGAAGAGTTCACTGAACACACAGGCATTCAACTGCGACCCCAGAAGAGTCACACCCTAGTAGGAAGGCTAAACTAGTCCTAGAATAAACTAATCCTATAATAATGGCTACGAGCCTTTAAGACAACCATCAAAAGGATCGAACATCTGTAAATAACCACCTTCCAAAACAAAGTCCCTATTCTTTAAAAGAACACAGCATCTACTAGAAATACAAAAATTAGCTGGGTGTGGTGGTGCACTTATGGCACAATATCAAATGGTCTATCATATCTGTGATTGGAGTCCCAGAAGGAGAAGAGCAAGATAATGGGTGAAAAATTTTTAATTTGATATATTTTGATAAAAATTGTAAACCTACAGATCCAAGAAATCCAATGAACACCAAGCAGCATAAACACAAAGAAAACCACATCAAGGCACATCATAATCACACTGTTGAAAACCAGTGATAGAAAACTTGACAATCAGCCATAGAAAAAGAGACGCATTACATATCCAGGAAAAGGATAAAGATCTGCAGATTTCTTTTTTTTTTTTTTCTTTTTCTTTTCCTTTTTTTTTTTTTTTTTTTTTTTTTTTGAGACAGAGTCTCACTCTTGTTGCCCAGGCTGGAGTGCAGTGGTGTGATCTCAGCTCACTGCAACCTCTGCCTCTTGGGTTCAAGTGATTCTCCTGCCTCAGCCTCCCGAGTAGCTGGGATTACAGGCGCCCACAAACACGCTCAGCTAATTTTTTGTATTTTTTAGTAAAGATGTGGTTTCACCATGTTGGCCAGGCTGGTCTCGAACTCCTGACCTCAGGTGATCCACCCACCTCGGCCTCCCAAAGTGCTGGGATTACCGGCGTGAGCCACTGTGCCTAGCCTGGAGATTTCTTCAGAGAAAGTATGCAAGCACAGTGAATGATATCTTTAAACTTCTTCAAGATGTCAATCTAAAAAAAAAATCCTCCAAAAACAAAGGCAAAATACTTATATTCAGAAAAACAAAAACAGACAATCACCAGCCAATCTGTATTACCAAAAGAAGGTTAAAAAATGTTCTACAGGCAGAAGGAAATGATATCAGATAGAAATCTGGATCTTCACAAATAAATGAAGAGCATCAGAAATGATAAAAGATTTTTCAAAATCATTTCTAAATGTTTCAAAAGAAAATTGACAGCTTAAAGTAAAATAATGTTCTGTGGGGTTATTACCTATGTAAAAGGGAGATATAACAAAAATAATACAAAGGATGGAAGAGGGGGAATGGAAGCACACACTATAAAGAATCTAATAGTGAAGAAGAAGTGGCATGATGTTATTTGAAGGTAGTCGACGGTAAATTAAAGATGCATTTTATAAACCCTAGAACAAAGAAAGAGGAGGAAAATGAAGGTCAATACTTGAGATAAAATGGAATACTAAAGTATACTCAGGCAGGAAAAAAGGAATGAAGAATAGGACAAACAGAAAACAAATAGCAAGTTGGTAGTTTTAAACCCAACCACATGATAATTACATAAGAAGTAAATGAACTAAACATTCCAATTAAAAGTAGAGATGGGGTTTCACCATGTTGACCAGGATAGTCTCGATCTCTTGACCTCATGATCCTCCCGCCTCGACCTCCCAAGGTTTTCCTTCTTTATCCCTAGTCATATTCTTTGTTCTGAAGTCTTCTTTGTTTTTATCTATATAACCACTGCGGATTTTTTACTATTAGTTGTCAAGCTGACAGATCGTCAAGCTGAATTTTAAAAGCAGATCCAGCTCTGTGCTGCCTACGAAGATGGAGAATCCCACTTTTAAGAACAAAGATACAGGCCGGGCGTGGTGACTCACGACTGTAATCGCAGCACTTTGGGAGGCCGAGGTGGGAGGATCACCCGAGGTCAGGAGTCTGAGACCAGCCTGGACAACAAGTTGAAATCCGGTCTCTACTAAAAAGGCAAAAATTAGCTGGGTGTGGTGGTGGACGCCTGTAATCCCAGCTGCTCAGGAGGCTGAGGCAGGAGAATCACTTGAACCTGGGAGGCGGAGGTTGCAGTAAGCTGAGATGGCACCATTGCACTCCAGCCTGGGCGACAAGAGCGAGAGTCTGTCTCAAAAAAAAAAAAAAAAAAAAAAGATACAGATAGATTTAAAAATTAAAAGGATATAAACACATATCATGCAAACACTAATAGTAAGAAATCTGCAGTGGTTATATAGATATAAACAAAGAAGACTTCAGAACAAAGGATATGACTAGGAATAAAGAAGAAAAACCTTGGGAGGCCGAGGAGGGCAGCTCATGAGGTCAAGAGATCGAGACTATCCTGGCCAACACGGTGAAACCCCATCTCTACCAAAAATACAAAAATTAGCTGGGCATGGTGGCGTACGCCTGTAGTCCCAGCTACTCTGGAGGCTGAGGCAGGAGAATCGCTTGAACCCAGGAGGAGGAGGTTGTAGTGAGCCGAGATCGCGCCACTGCACTCCAGCCTGGGCGACAGAGCGAGACTCCCTCCCACTCCGCAAAAAAAATAAATAAATAAGAAGAAAGAAAACTGATACCCAGGGTCCTGGTGCCAGACTTTACACTACTGCAGCTATCCTGGGTGATGTCCAGAGATGAACGGAATCAGAATTACCTGGAGGGTTTGGGGAATCACAGGTTGCTGGGCCCCACCCCCAGAGTTTCTGATTCCTTAGGTCTGGGTGGGGCCTGGGAGTCTGCATCTCTAAAAGATTCCCAGGTGACACGCTGATTCTACTGGTCTTGGGATCCACTCTGGAACCACTTGTTGACTGACCTCTTCCTCCTGTTTAAAACTGACATGATCCTATCTTGAATGATAGTGTAACAATTAGAAAGATAAAATAAGGAAATGATGCGCTTGAAAGTGTAGACACTGATTTCCCTTGTGATTGATTAATTGAGATTGGGATTTGGGATAAAAGGAAACCTAGGATTCTGCCTTAGCCAACCAGTCGGGGGCGGGAGGTGGGCAGGAAATGCAGGAGAAATAAGATTTTGGGGTGAAAACAATGAGCTAGGGTTTGGATTTGCTTGAATTTTCAATGCAGTACTCATATATCTTTCTCACTTTTAAAAGTCTGTGAGGTGGACATGGACTGGCTTCGTCGGTTTGCCAAGGTTTAATTTTGTGCCTTAAATGGGCACTTGAGAGCTTTGTAAAAACCGATGTGTTTGCTGGCCCCGTGTTTACGGGCCTTTGTGATCTCCGCGTTCGCATCCAATCTGGCCCTTGGGCTCCGAGAAGGTACACGTGTGTGTAGGGCAAGGTCCAACCAGTGGGGCCAGGGATCTGAGCAACAAGCGCGCCCTGTGTCCTTTGTGGCAGGGACCGCTTGTGGACGGCGGATGAGGATGAGGCGCCCAGATCTTCCCGAAATATTTCCTAATCGTTCATCATGATGTTATGTTGTTGTTTTCACAAAGGGAATTAATATTGGCCTCCTTTTCTACAAATCTTGCCAACACTGCGTGAAATGTTTTCGTTGCTTCTCTATTCCCAAGGTTTCGTATTATTTTACCAAGTCGGAAAATGGACGGCGCTTAAACTGTTTTTTCCCTGAAAGGAAGAGGGCTGTAATCACTAAAGTGTTTTAAAATCTCCAGCGCAAAAGCCTGCGGTGCCACAGGGACGAGGCCTGGAGAGCAGTCGCTCCTAGAACCGGGGCGCGAAGGGCACCCCCGCCTCCAGCACGCGCCCTCCGCCCTCCCGGCCTCGCTCCCCCCGGAGTGGGGGCCTCGCCGGCCCCTGGTCCCCGTCACTCAGCAACGTCGGGTCAGCCTTCGCCGGGTTAGTGGCGACGCGGCCGCGCGAATTCGCACAGGTATTCCGCGTTTCTCCGCCGTTCCCCGCCTTGGCCGGAGGCTTCCGAGGCGTCCCTTGGTGCAGGGTGGGAAGCGGCCCGCGCCCCAACGGCCCAGGCGCTGGAGCTCACCCCGAGCGAGGGCGGTACCTGAGGCTTCGGGGAGCCCGCGCTGACCGCGGCCCCGTCCCCAGACCCCTCCAGCAACCCCGGCCCCGCCCCAGACCCCTCCGGTGATTTCCCCCCCGGCCCCGCCCCGCAGATCCCTCCAGTGATCTCCCCCCCGCCGCGCCCCCCAGACCCCCCCCCAGTGATTTACCCCCCGGCCCCGCCCCACAGACCCCTCCAGTGGTCCCCCGGCCACGCGGGCTCCGGGGGGGCGGGGCGGGGGCGCGGCCCTTTGCTGGGACAGGGGGCGTGGGCCCGAGTAGCGGGCGGGGGGCGCGGGCCCGGGCTGGGGCGGGGGCGGGGGCGGGGAGCGCGGGAGCCCCGGTGACGCAGCAGTGACGTCGGTGGCAGCGGGCGGGATTTCCCGGGCGAGACCCCGCGGCGGAGTGGGCGCGGCCAGCGTGGAACGGGGGCGAGGGTCGCAGAGTCGCCGGCTCTCCCTTCCCCAGTCTGGGCCCCCACGGCACAGGGGGCCGAGCAGAAGCCCCCAGCGTCCAGGGCCGGGGGAGGGTCCGCCTGCGCCCCCAGGCCCGCGTGGTCGGGCCCTGCAGGGCGGGAGGCGCGGCGCGGGGCGGGGCCGGTGACGGGACGCGGAGACCCCGCGGGCGGCGGGAGGGGCACGAGGCGCGCGTTTGCACCCGAGCCCGGCCCGCGCCCCGATGCGGAGCGATGCCGCTCGGCCTGGCCGCCCCCCGCGAGCACCGCGCTGCAGACGAAGCCCGCGCGTGATCCCGCTCCGGGTAAGTGGGCGCCCGGCCGGAGCCCCGGGTGTCCGCGGGGAGAGCCCAGCCCGGTGCAGCCAGACGCGGAAGGGAAACTCGGGGTGAAAGTCTCCGGACCTAGGGAGACGGCTCTGGCGCCGGTGTGGTCCTCACGCCGCCAGCTGCTGCTGCACGCGACACAAAGACCTGTGGTTCCCTCGGCCTCCTCTCCCGGGACCTCCCGCCGGGCCCCGGGGAAGCCCGCGCGCGGGTGTGGACAGCCCCCTCGGAGCGCGTCCAGGGGCTTCCGGGGCTGGGGGCGCCCGGTCCCTCCGGCATGAGGCAGGCGGGGGCTCGGGGGTCCCCTCTTCCATTTGTAGGTCACAGAGCGTTTGCTGTTTTCCCAGCGGGGACGTCCCCCGTGGAAAAGGACCTCAGTGGCAGGAGATGGCGTGGCTGGTTGGGCGTTTTCTTTGGGGAAATGTTTCTGGCGAGTGCCTGAGGAAGCCCTCCTGGCTCCCCAGCAGCCCAGACGCCGCCTCGGGAGCACTCGGGGTGACGCTGGAGCCACCGCAGCTGAGGGTGGTTTTCCTCACCTCCTTGATGGCGTCTGTCCCCGAGGCTGGTGCTGAACTGAAATGTGCTTCGTTCGCCGCGCGCGCCCGGCAGCAACCGGGGAGCTTTGTTTGGCTTGATTTTTTAAATTGCCTTGGAAATAACGCGAAACGGCGGGAGGGTGAAGTGGGGAGGAGGACAGAGCGTGGTGGGGAAAGACTCCTTAATTTAAGATTTGCTTCATTTCGAGTATTTGGGGCTAAGGTGTTAGGAAACCCGAAAATGTTAAAGTTTGATCAAGTAATAAAGTGGATGATGGACGCCGGGCCTCCCACCGTCTCCCCGGCCCCGCGGCTGCCGCGTCTCTCCTCTACCCGTCGCCTCCCAGGACTGTCAAATGCTGGCACCGGGCCCGTGCCTCTCAGCCGGAGCAAAAGGCCGCCTAGGCTGCGCCCGTGTGCTCCATTAAAACGTGCCAGTCCTGTCGTCTGCTCATGAGTGAGGTGTGCCGCTTCCCACAGTGGACAGGAAATTTGCAGCGGCGAATGCCTCACAGTAGCCATGGGGGACCTGGGCTCTGCGGCCGGCTTCTCGATTCCTCCCGCAACTCCTTTTCCTGATTTTTGTATGAGGCGGGGGAGGGGAACCAGCCGCCATCTGATCTGGCCCTGTTCCCTGCAAGAGGCGACTGGGGGGACAACTAAGTTGATAAATGGAAAGCCTTTTCCAGCCCGGAGAAACAGACAGAGGACCTATAAACTGGATTGTTTTTGAAATGTAGGGTTTGCTCAGTGACCGGTCATGATAAGAGATGGCTGTGGCACTTAATAAATAGTAGGTGTAAATGCAAATGCAAGGTTTACAGTGATGCCTTGCCTGTTAATGAGCAGCCTCACCATGGGGTTAGTTAGGCTGAAATGACTATTTAGGACAATGGACTTCCTGTTGGCCCCCACCTCCATGCACAACTCCAGTGCTCATAGGCCTTAAAATTCGCCCAAGGAAGCCAGTGGAGGATGTAGGCCTGGCTCAGAAACAGCACAGCTAAGGGGCCATTCCCAGCAGTCCTATGATTGGCGTTTCTCATGCAAACTGATGGTGGAGAAACCAGAAAAAAAAAAAGCTTTTCCTAGATTCACTTTACAGTTTTTAAAGCAAAAGTGACAGTCCCTGAAGTCCCCCAATATTCAGTGCATTCTTTGAAATGATAGAACATCAGGTGGGAACATCGCCTGTAATCCCAGCACTTTCAGAGGCCGAGGCAGGCAGATCACTTGAGGTCAGGAGTCCGATACCGGCCTGGCCAACGTGGTGAAACCCCGTATCTACTAAAAATGCAAAAAATTAGGCGGGCGTGGTGGTGCACGCCTGTAATCCCAGCTACTTGGGAGGCTGAGGCACGAGAATCACTTGAACCTGGGAGGCAGAGGTTGCAGTGAGCTGAGATGGTGCCACTGCACTCTGGCCTCAAAATAAATAAACAACATGAGGTGGGAACATGGACCCTGACCCCTGGGGAAGCAAGAGCCACAGCTGTCTCAGGAGGGCAGGAACACTGTAAAATGTGTACAATGCTCCTTCCCCCAAGACCTACACGCCCAAACCCACGCCTACCACAAAACTACTGCTTATGCAGAAAGCAAAGACTAAGGTCTGTACCCAACAATTTCTTCTTTTATTTATAGCTGCATCTCACTTATTTCACTATCACATTTTTCCTAGTTTGTCTCAGTTTCTGCTTGGAGAGGGGAGAATGCCTAATAATGTATGTCAGAAGATTGCCCCTTTCTTCGTGGAATTTTGAAGTAGTAACTTTAAAATATTACCTGATTTTTGTTCTTGAAACACCTTTTAAGGATATACTGCTATCTAATCTTGCTGGTTTTCCTTTTTTAAAATTTGGTATTTTTATTCATTCTAGATATACTTAGGCATAGAGACTTGTATTATTCAGGTAGAGAGATTGTTTCTTTTTTAAAACCAGAAACCAAAATTTAACTCCTTTAATAGAGGTATAAGTACTACATAAATAACCTATCAACAGTGGATAGCAAGGATATTTTAATTGAAAGTCAGAAAAGCTAAATGGTATCAGGAAAGAAAAGGAGATTGCAGGGTAATACTACCGAAAGACTGAAAGAAGCTGGTTAAAAACCTCTAAAGAATAAGCCAAAGACTGTTAATAAATGATCAAAAGTAAAAACACAAATGAAATTTTCATTTTAGGAAATGTTAAGAAATAGGGGCTAGAAAAGCTGCTGAAAGAAAAAAATTACTGCAGAGAAAACAATGGGTGCTTAAAAAGAGATCAGTTCAGTGAGCTTGCTGGAGCGTTCCAAATTCCTCTAATTGCCAAGGAGTTCTTGTTAGACTGAATGGTGGCTGGTGGGCAATCAGATTCCCTGCTGGAAATTGGTAGACAGAGTGACAGGTGCCATGCAGATAAGGGAAAGCCGGCTGTGTGCAAGACGCCGTGCTCACTGGGGAAGGAGCCCTGGGTGCCCAGGAGTGAGGAAGTATAGGGAGCTATGGAGGAACTGTTCGTCTCCATGGCCGTGAGGTTTGTGGGTCACCAAAGGCCCAGTCTCCGAGGATCGGATAGGGCTAGGAGCCCAGGTTAGTGGGCAACAAGGGGAAAGAAGGGCAATGATTGGGCTAGACGTGTCATGTGGATGATCTCCTTTGATACTCACAGGATACCTGCCAAGTTTCTAATTTGCAAAAAACAGCAGTGACTGCTTGTGTCCTCTCTGTCCAGGAGTGTTCTGGCAGCGGGTTTGGTGGGTGGTGGGAACCTTTTTTAACTGATGTAGGAAAAGTATACACAAATGACAAGTGAAAGTGACAGAGACGTGTGGAAGAGAAAAAAGTGGAGAACTGTAGAGAGACCCACACTCAGGCACTGCACATGAGCTCCTTTCCCAGGAGGATTTGTTTCTCTTGCTTCTTAGATTTCTAAAACCATTTCTCTCTGAGTTGCTGGGTTGGCTTTCTGTGGTGTGACACATGTGCTCTGAGGCCATGGAAGGCCCTAGAGATAGAAGAAGCACTCTAAGTATCCCTCTGGGCCAGAGAGATTGTTTCTTCCCCAACACCCCCTGTGCATGAGGCGGGACAACAGCCACGATGGATCATATGAGCTGGCATTAACTGTGCCTTTATGCCTTTCTCATCAGTGCCTGGACCTCCTCCTGGTGCCCCTGCCTAATGTACAGCTGTAAGGCCTTGTCTTCTGTCCCCTCCATATGGGCTCCAACAAAGAAAGAGAGGCAGGGCGATAAAATAGGAAGAAGGAAAACATTTTTAACTCTTTTTAAACATTCTTTTTTTTTTTTTTTTTTTTTTTTTGAGACTGAGTTTCCCTCTTGTCTCCCAGGCTGGAGAGCAATGGCACGATCTTGGCTCACTGCAACCTCCGCCTCCTGGGCTCAAGCGATTCTCCTGCCTTGGCCTCCCAAGTAGCTGGGATTACAGGCATGTGCCACCGCGCCCGGCTAATTTTGTATTTTTAGTAGAGACGGGGTTTCTCCACGTTGGTCAGGCTGGTCTCGAACTCCTGACCTCAGGTGATCCACCTGACTCGGCCTCCCAGAGTGCTGGGATTACAGGTGTGAGCCACCATGCCCAGCCTGAACATTCTTATTCAAGCACCTCTACAACTACAGCAGAAAAAGTGTTTACATGTTCCTCCAAATTCCAGCACCCAAACTCAACCTTGTTTCTTCTGGTGTCCCACCACACAGAGAGGTAAAATTGAGAGATTTCTAGCAAAGCAGTACCCATGTATGAAGGCCCAAAGAGGAGAAATGAGCTTAGATGGCGGGAAGAAAAGAGCAAGAGGCTGTTGAGATTGGGGTGGGAGGCAGGGCAGGGCAGGGAGGCTGCTGAGGGCTGAGAGCAGGTTCTTCTCCACAATGGCCCAGCAGGACTCTGTGGCTCAGGTCCAGACACTGATGAACAGGAAGAGCAGATGGG
The DNA here is from genome assembly GCF_000001405.40 of Homo sapiens. Lineage (NCBI taxonomy): Eukaryota > Metazoa > Chordata > Mammalia > Primates > Hominidae > Homo > Homo sapiens. The sequence goes on along the minus strand of NC_000001.11, from coordinate 235,645,170 downwards.
GTGGTCATGCCCCATGCTGGGACTCTGTCTTCCCAGAGGGTCAGGCTCTTGGAGGCCAGAGGCCAGAGGTCAGGCAGCAGTACAGGCAGCCTGGCTTTGCAGGCTGAGCCAAGTCATCAACACACCTTGGAAAGGGCTACGTGTTACCCTTCAACACCCACACGTCCACGTGGGCCCTGGGGTCTCTGGCGGCCCGGGGCCCATGTGGACGGAGTGTCTGCTGCTGCATCTCCCCTTCCTCATCAGTGGTCTCTGTCTTCCCATGGCTCCCTGTCTATAGGAAGGTCCAGCTACACCCAACAACTGGCATCCTCCTCCTGGATGTCTCTCCAGCCCGATCTGAGGAGCCATCTGCCCTGCCCTGCGGCTCTGGGGTACCCGCCCTGCACAGACCCTGGATGGAAATTTCCAGCAGGGCCTTTCCGCTGCCCCTAGCCTGTGGCCGACTAAACGAGCATGAGTCAGTCCTCATTCGGTTTTAGTTTTCCTTCAGCAATCTTGGGAAAATTCTGTTTTCTCTGTGCCCCAGTTAACTTTGCGTATCACTCAGAAGCTGCTCTAGTCTGAAGGTGCTTGTTTATCCCCCCGGCAGCTGTGGGGCTGCATGGCAGGGTACTAGGGGACTGCAGCCTGGTTAAGGAGACCTGATGACTTCAGTCTACACCGTGCATGTGTTTGACGGTGTGTGCGGGGAAGAAGGTGTTACCAGGATGAGAGACAGCGTCAGGCTTGCTCATGCCCAAGGGCAGTGGTGGGCCTGGAGTGTGGGTGTGGAGGTGGCCGAGGAGGGTCGCTCGGTGGATGTGAGTAGAAAATTCCAAAATGTTGACCTCAAGGGAAATAAAGGGGAACTGGCAGTGTTGCCGGCCACTGAATTCTCTCTGGAACAGGGTGAGGTGTAGGTCCAGGGCAAGGCCTTCGTGGGTCTCACACGCTCCCTCCCGCTGTGGCTGAATTTTATCTGATGGAGACAGAGTCACTGGCCTCTTTTGCTGATCTGGACCTCTGGGTGCCCGCGTTCCCGCCACCCAGCCCTGTCTCTGGAAGGCTGTACCCATCAACCTTTCAGTAGGAGTTTGGCGTTTCACTGCCATTCCCCTCCACTTGGTTGACCTTGTAGAATTGTGCCTTTTGGGGACTCTCTCGGGCAGATCTTTCTGTGTGTGCTCCGTGAACACTGCAGCAAGTGTGCCCTCAGCCCCTGCTCTGCCGCGTCCCCGCCTTTTTGGGTTGGCTGTGCTCACTGATGGATGGGTCAGCATCCTCTGAACAAGTTTCTCGTTAGACCCTCTCCTTGTGCTAGGGTTTGTTGCAGTCAATAGTGTCTGAAAGAAGCCAATTGCTGGCCTGGACCCAGGCACGTTTTTATTCATCAGAAATTTTCTTTGTCATGGATTTGCCATTCTAGGGCTCTGCTGATCTCACTGTGATCTTCCTGGTGTTTTTAGTTTTACTGTCCAGTACTGCTCCCCGCCACATTCCTTTTCATTACTGGGTGCTATGGAAGGACTTTTCCAATACAGACATACTGCTGGATGCGATCGATGTGTTCATCGAAGACTGCATGTGAACCTTGCATTTGTGAGGTGTTCATTGACTGCATGTGTGATAAGCACCTGCAATAAATATATGCATCAGATAGTTTAGGCACTGGTGACAGGGAAACAAATAAGATATGGTCATGCACTCCAGAGGAGTCAGAACCTAGAGGGGGTGCATGTGTGAAAACAGCCCACCTACCCTGGATTAGTGCACAGACAGGGAGAGTGTTAGTTCTTTCTGATAGCAGTGCAGAAAGCGTGTGACAACAGAGGGAGTCTTGAGCTGGCCCTGGTGAGCTGAGGCAGGTTTTTCAAGCCAGACAAATGAGAAAGGGCTTTCCAGGCAGGGCGGCCAGCAGGGGCCCAGGGTCATGAAAGAGGAGTGGAGAGAGCAGAAAGGTTGCTCAGAGCCGGGGTGTGAAGGTGAGACTGACCGTGAAGAATGGGGAATCCAGGGCCATTGTCAGGCAGAAGCAGGAAGCAGCAGGCCCCACCTTGGCCGTCTGGCTGTGACTGCCATGTGGGGAAGGTCGGAGGCGTGGGGCAGGAGAGGGAGGACAGGGAGACTGGATAACGCCCAAGGGTGCCCCGGCCCCAGCGTCAGTCGGGGTGGCCGTCTGATTGGAAACAGAGGGCCAGGGAGAGGCTGGTGTCTGGGATCCCAGGGTTTCCAGACTGAGCATGGATGGACGAGGGGTAATGTGACCTGGTTTTGTGAATGAAGCTGGGCAAGTAGAGAGAGGGTGTATGACTTGCCAAGTCAGGAGGTGACATCGAGGGGGCATGTACGTGCAGAGCTGAGCAGAGGTCTGGCTGGACCCAGGTGAAGCCACAGGGGCGAGATTGCCTGGGGTGATCCGAGGTGTGATGACAGCAGGGAGGCCCGCGCCTCCAAGAACACACGGCAAGTTTAGGACAAAACAAATATCCTTCTGTAGGAGGCACACCCTTTCTTACACAGACTTTCATGCATAGGATTCCCTTAAAAGAGACCCTCCCAACCCTGCCCTCTCCCTGGCCCCCTGCCCCTCCTGCCCGCCTCTGCAAAACCACAGCCAACCCGCCACCACCTCGCCTTCCTGGATGACTCATTCTTTCTGCGTTGAAGCAGTTGCATCCTGCCTCTTGTTTATGATTTCTTTGTCCCTCTGATGCTTACGGATTGGCTCGGACGCTGTTAGCACCCGTCTCTTGCTGCAGGCCCACGTCGGGGAATCACAGTGTATCATCCTTCCGTGCGTGGGTCTCTATTCGAGAGGGAGTTTCTGTTCTATGTTTTGCTCAGTTGCCCCCGGTCACTCTTTTCCCACCCCCAAGCACCAGTGGCCTCGAGGCGGAGGGCTGGCCTTGGCCCTGCTTCACAGTAACCGCGGCAGCTTACCCGCGACACCTGCACGGGAGCGGGGCCAAGGCTCACCCCGCCCCTGCCGGGCCTCGCTCGGGTTCTTCCACCCTGCGTTCGCCTCGGACCGCTGTGGTTAGCTGTGAAATGCCCCTGCGGTCTGGTTTTCTCTCCTTTTCCGCACGGTTCTTAGTGTGTTATGTTGCTTTTCCGCACTGTACGTTGGAAGCTCTAGGGCTACGAAAACGCAGGCAGTTGCGGGGGAAGCGAAAAATCCCCGCCCTCATGGAAGTTCTGTTACGGTGGAGGAATCAGACCAATGATAAGAAGTCAGAAAATCAAAAGTAGTTTAAACAAGTACATGAATAAATAAGCATTTAAGATATAGTAAGTGCATGAGAGAAAAATAAAACAAGGCTGGGAGGTAGGGAATTCCGGGGAAGGGGGTGGCTCACATTTTAAATAGGCTGCTTGTGGGAGGACCTGCCATGTTGATCCGAGGTTAAGGTGACCTCCCAAATGAGCTCATCTGATGCACGTGGAGCCAACAGGTGAAAGTGTTGATGGAGTCACAGATTATTTATTTATTTATATTTTTAGGTGGAGTCTTGCTCTGTCACCCAAGTTGGAGTGCAGTGGCGCGATCTCGGCTCACTGCAACCTGCACCTCCCAGGTTCAAGCCATTCTCCTGCCTCAGCCTCCCTAGCGGCTGGGATTACAGGCGCCCGCCACCACGCCAGCTAATTTTTTGTATTTTTAGTAGAGACAGGGTTTCACCATGTTGGCCAGGCTGGTCTAGAACTCCTGACCTCAGGTGATCCGCCTGCCTCGGCCTCCCAAAGTGCTGGGATTACGGGCGTGAGCCACTGTGCCCCGCCGATTATTTATTTAGTTTTAGAGGCAGGGTCTTGCTCTGTTGCCCAGGCTGGTGTGCAGTGATGTGATGGTATTTCATTGCAATCTTGAGCTCCCCAGTTCAAGTGAGCCTTCCACTTCAGTCTCCTAAGTAGCTGGGGCTACAGTTGCCCACCACCATGCCCGGCTAAATTCTTTTAAAACTTTTTGTAGAGATGGGTTCTCACTATGTTGCCCAGGCTGGTCTGGAACTCCTGGCCTCAAGTGATCCTCCCACTTCGGCCTCCCAAAGTGCATAATTACAGGCATCAGCCACTGCACTTGGCCTACAGATTAATTTATGCCCAAGTGCCTTCCTGACAGAATAAGGTGGCTTTCCCCTCCTCTCACCCCTAGCATATAAGAAAGCTACATTAACCAAAAGGAGTATTTGGTAGTGTAACTCAAGGTAGAGGAAGAGACAGAGATTCTTTTTGCAAAATGACACGCAAGAAGCAGCCCCTTCTCACTCCAAAGTGGGCCTCTTCACAGCCTGGCTGTTTTGTGGGTGCTCCACCCATCCAGGGACTGGGGCTGCTGGGCCCAGTGACCTCTGACCTGCCAGGCGCCAAGCGGCAACAAAAGGGAGGGAGAGCTCTGGCCCACCGGGCAATTTGACTCTTCCTGGAGCCCTGCAGGGGGTGGTGGCCCCGAGAGGCTGGATCAGAGACCCTCAGGTCCGAAGGTCTGGTGGGCTAAATGAAGTAGAGAGGCCGCCCTCAACTCCACCCTGCCGGGATTCAGGCGGGCTCAAGGACGCAGCTTGGCAAGGACTGTCTTATGTATTCGCCTTGATGCGTGGTCTGGCAGGTTCACTGTAGTCTGTTGAATGATGTGTGTATCCTTTCTTCTGTTTTACACACCTGTTTTGAGAACCATTTACTTGTAGCACAGTCTGTGTATAAAGCCTAAGGTAGATGCAGCAGTGGTTCTCAAACCTGGCTGCATACATTTTGGGCAGTTTTTAAAATATCCCTTCTTGGGCCTCATCCCCTGGACATTCTGACATAGTGGGTCTGGGCTAGGGTCCGGGAATTAGTCTTTGAGTTTTGCAGCCACCAGATTTGAGATGCATTGAACCAAATGATTTCTGTGGGTCCTTATTCCTGATATCTGATTCCCCCCAACCTGCCTAAGCATCCCCAGGCTCTTGTGTCCTATGCCAGCCTCTCCCGCTCCTCGTGGGGCTGTGAGGGTTTGACCACCGTAAGCATGATGTGCCTGCAACACCAGGTCTCCTCCCCAGGCTGAATGCATGGATCTGTCCTCTTCTGCCTGGGGTGAGAGACAGCCTTCTCTGTGGGGAAACCAGCTACCACCCTGAAGAGCTGCCTCTGTCAGAGCACAAGATCCCCACCTAGAGACCCCCTCACTGCTCCCCTCCCACAGCAGCAACGGCAGCTCTGAGGTTCTGGACACCCCAAAGGACACAGACCTACCTTCACCCATGAGCCGTCCAGGAGACATTTGACAGCTGCTGTGTGCCATGTCCTAGGGGTAGGAATGCAAAATAAGTCAGAGGCCATCCCTGCTCCTGAGGCATTTACAATCCAGTGAGGGAGACAGAGGATTATAACACAACACAGAGCGGGGCACGGTGGCTCACGCCTGATATCCCAGCACTTTGGGAGACCAAGGCGGGCAGATCACCTGAGATTGGGAGTTCAAGACCAGCCTGGCCAACGTGGGTGAAACCCCGTCTCTACTGAAAATACAAAAATTAGCTGGTTGTGAGGCAGGAGAATCGCCTGAACCCAGGAGGCAGAGGTTGCAGTGAGCTAAGATAGTGCCACTGCACTCCAGCCTGGGCGACAGAGTAAGACTCTGTCTCAGAAAAAAAAAGCATACAACACGGAATTAAGAAAAGCTCCCACCTCAACACAGAAGGACACCAAGCCCGGCCCAGAAGGACAGGGAAGGCATCTGGAAGGAGGTCTCATGATTTGGCCAGATGGAACTATTGGGGCACAGCCAGTGCAAGGCGAAAGCCTTCCAGGCTGGGGGCTCTGTTTCAGCAAGGGAGAATGATTATGGCTCACATTAATTAAGTGCTTCCTGCAGCCCAGGCTCTTAGTGGCTTATGTTGTATGAACTACTTATTCCTGATGACTACTGTGGTAGGTAGAATCATGGTCCCCAAAGATGGCCACCCTCTAATCCTTGGAACTTGTGAATCTGTGAATCTTACACAGCAAAAAAGATTTTGCAGATGTGATTAACGGAAAGATCCTGAGATGGGGAGGTGATCCTGGAATACCTGGCAGGCCCAGTGTCGTCACAAAGGTTCTCATAAGAGGAAGATAGGCGCATCTGAGAGAGAAGGTGGGGGATGCTGCTGGGCTGGCTTTAAAAATGCAGGAGGGCCCGTTACTGGGTATATACCCAAAGGATTATAAATAATTCTACTATAAAGACACATGCACATGTATGTTTATTGCAGCACTATTTACAATAGCAAAGACTTGGAACCAACCCAAATGCCCATCAATGATAGACTGGATAAAGAAAATGTGGCACATATACACCATGGATTACTATGCAGCCATAAAAAAGAATGAGTTCATGTCCTTTGCAGGGACATGGATGAAGCTGGAAACCATCATTCTCAGCAAACTAACACAGGAACAGAAAACCAAACATCGCATGTTCTCACTCATAAATGGGAGTTGAACAATGAGAACACATGGACACAGGGAGGGGAACATCACACACCGAGCCCTGTTGGGGGGTGAGGGGCAAGGGCAGGGAGAGCATTAGGACAAATACCTAATGCAGGCAAGGCTTAAAACCTAGATGATGGGTTGATAGGTGCAGCAAACCACCATGGCACACGTATATCTATGTAACACACCTGCACGTTCTGCACATGTATCCCAGAACTTAAAGTAAAATGTTAAAAAAAAAAAAAAATGCAGGAGGAGCCACAAGCTCAGGATTGCAGATGGCTGTAGACACTGGAAAAGGCAGAAATACGAACTCTCCCCAGAGCTTCCACCCACAGCCCTCCTGGCACCTTGATTTTAGTCCATCGAGACCCATTTCAGACTTTTGAACTCCAGAACTGTAAAATAATAAAACTGCATTGTTTTAAGCCATAAATATATGGTAATGTGTTGTAGCCACAATAGAAACCAATACAACCATTCCTCTATTTTGAAGGGAAGAAAGCAGGAGGTGAAGGGAATTACCCACATTTCCGGAGCTAGAAAGGAGCAGATTCAGGCTCCAGGGCCTGCACCTGTCCACTCACCTCTCTTCTGTTCCTCCCGCCTGGAAGGGGTTTAAAAACAGCAGTCCAGCAGCTGGGGCTTATCGGAGACCAGGAGCATTGGAAGATGAAGCTGGCCAGATGCGCAGGCAGGAGCCAGGGTCCGGGAAGCTCTTCTTGGTCAAGTAGAGGGAAGTGGCTTTGCAGGCCATTGGCCTGGGCTCCTTTTCGGTGGTCTCCTCAAGTCTGTGCCGGACTGGGAGTGCCACAAGAGCAGAGGTCAGCTCCTTGGGCCCAGTGCACCCACATGTGGCTTCAGCCACAGAGTGAGCTGTGTGCCCATACAGACTGTGCCGCCTCTCTCCATTATCAGATGGTTTAAAAGTGCCACCCTGGCCAGGTAGTGAAGGGCAGACATCTGGTTAAGTGCCCGCAGCATCCTTATGCATCGAAAATTCTCCTATGTTCAAACATCTGTTTCCACCTCATCATTGTTTTCCTCATTCTAATTTTTTTTTTTTTTTTTTTTTTGAGACAAGGTCTTGCTCTGTCTCCCAGGCTGGAGTGCAGTGGTGCAATCTCGGCTCATTGCAACCTCCACTTCCCAGGTTCAAGCGATTCTCATGCTTTAGCCTCCCCTAGTAGCTGGTATTGCAGGCACGCGCCACCGCGCCCAGCTAATTTTTGTATTTTTCGTAGAGAAGGGGTTTCGCCATGTTGCCCAGGCTGGTCTTGAACTCCTGGCCTCAAGTGATCCCCCCACCTTGGCCTCCGAAAGTGCTGGGATTACAGGTGTGAGCCACCGCGCCCAGCCTCATTCTAATTCTTTAATATAAAGCATCCCCCATCTTCCAGCGTTTGACTGAAATAGGTGGTCAGAGGAATTTTTAGGTGGTGTTTTAAGCATTGTTTTTTTAAATAAAGGACACGTAAGCATAACCTGAAACTACTCCCGATATGTCTGCTCAATTTATATTCCAAGTATTTTGCAGGCTGTGCTTGGATTTTCAAAGGAGCAATCACTAGCATTTGATTAGCATTTTTCAGTTTGCTAAAAGCATTCATGTACCCTGTCCACTTGATCTTTACAGAAATGCCAGGAGGCAGGGATTTTTTTTTTTTTTTTTGAGACGGAGTCTGGCTCTGTCGCCCAGGCTGGAGTGCAGTGGGGAGGCAGGGATCTTTATCCCCATTCTTGAAGGAGGAGACTGTGGTTCAAAGGAGAATCACCATCAGGACAAGGTGCCTAGAGGAGCAAGGACGGCACCCAGGGCTTCCACTCGAACTCCACACTGTTCCTAGGGTATCCTCTTGCCCTAGGGGTAAGAGGTAGCAGCTGGGGTAGCAGGGAAAGACCTAGAATGCACTTACAAGGAAATAGGGTCCCAGAATCCAGTTCCGATGTGTCCCTCCCAGGTACAGAAGTACAACACTGGGGCATCCGCATGCCATCGCCTGTCAGTATTGGGGATCCCACCCTGCTTTGGGGGTTCATCGGATCTCTGGTCTTAACATGAGATTGTTGTATGGAGGAATGTGATTGAGGCTCACCAACATCTCAGGGCACAGGCAATTGCCCTGCTGGAGGACCCATGGAGATACGCAGGTCTCTGATGGGAGGTCTCTGATGGGAGGTCTCAGCGTGGGCACCGTGCCTCTGCGTGGCCGTGGCTTGCTGCAGGCACTGCTCCCCATGTGGCAAAGATGAGGGAATGCAGGCCTGCTGCTCAGTGCCAGCTGCTCTCCTCTACACGGGGCTCCCCTAGACCTTGCCCCAGGCCTCACCGCAGGACCTGGTGCCTTTGGGGTTCCCCTTTTCTGAGACCCCCAAAGAGCCTTCCTCAAATAAATCAAAGGCTTTAGCGTCTAAAACTTGTTCCTGAAGAAGGCTTTCTGAACCCGCTTTGGAAGTAAAAAGCAAAATTCCTCTTTGCACTTCTGTGTAATCGTCCTCATTCTCCTTGAGGCAGTGCGGATAACTCTGGCTGGTCAGAGGAGGGGCAGGTATGAGGAAGCACGGTGAAAACAGCCCAGCCCTGTCTCTCAGGATATTCTCCCTCTACAGAGAGAGAGCCAGTTCCTCCCTACACTAGTCTGGGCTTACCTGTCTAGCAAGAGGAGGGTTCCTGGCCATTACCTGGGTGTCCCCTGGCAGTGCAGCAATACCAGGTTCTCAAACACTAACTGGTTGGTTAAGGAGGTTAAGTTACCTTCAGTCTTCTGCCCTTCAGCTTCCTCAAGGTGGAAGGTGGGCCTTCAGAGCCACTGCAAGGGGTCTCTGAATACAGGTGCACAACCCAGGAAACCTGTGTAGAGCAATTGCGACTGCCATGTGTTTGTATCCTGCTGATTAATTTGCAAGTATGCATAGATGCCTTTGGGATTAATAAAGATGAATTTAAGTATGTTACTGAATTAATCACAGCTTTGTCGTGTTGTATCTTCTGTGGCGACAGATACTGAAAATACAGCCATGTATTAGTTGGTTTTGTGTTGCTATAAAGAAATACTTGAGGCTCAGTGATTGATAAAGAAAAGAGGTTTATTTAGCCGACAGTTCTGCAGGTTGTACAAGCATGGCACCAGCATCTGCTTCTGGGGAGGCCTCAGGAGGGCTCCACCCCCATGACTCAAACGCCTCCCACCAGGCCCCACCTCCATACATCAGGAATCACATTTTTCCCCGCCGAGATGGAGTTTTGCTCTTGTTGCCCAGGCTGGAGTCCAGTGGTGCGATCTCAGCTCACTGCAACCTCCACTTCCTGGGCTTAAGTGATTCTCCTGCCTCAGCCTCCCAAGTAGCTGGGATTACAGGCGCATACCACCACACCTGAATCATTTTGTATTTTTAGTAGAGACAGGGTTTCTCCATGTTGGTCAGGCTGGTCTCGAACTGCTGACCTCAGGTGATCCACCCGTCTCAGCCTCCCAAAGGAATCACATTTTAATATGAGATTTGGATATCCAAATATCCAAACCATAAGAGGCTGTAAGAGACTGCGTTTGTCTGATTGACTTTAGAAGGGACCTAATTTATAAATGTTTAAACTTTGCGCTTTAAAACCATTGGAACCATGGTTTGCAAAATCCTTCCATTTCTGGTGCTCCATGGTTCATTAACAATGCCATGTTCTGGTACATTTTCTAAATTTATTCACTGTCTATACCCGGCTTTGTATTGCCTTCCTCTATCAGCTGCTGACTTCAGCAAAGGAAGTATTTCTTTTTTTTGTTTTGTTTTTTGTTTTTTGAGACAGAGTTTTGCTCTTGTCGCGCAGGCTGGAGTGCAATGGCACCATCTTGGCTCACTGCAACCTCCGCCTCCTGGGTTCAAGCTATTCTTCTGCCTCAGCCTCCCGAGTAGGAGGCATGCACCACCACGCCTGGCTAATTTTGTATTTTTTAGTAGAAACAGGGTTTCTCCATGTTGGTCAGGCTGATCTCAAACTCCCAACCTCAGGTGATCCACCCGCCTCAGCCTCCCAAAGTGCTGGGATTACAGGCGTGAGCCACTGCGTCCAGCCAGCAAAGGAAGGCAGCCTTACTGTGGGGTCCTAATTAGGAACAAGGAGCCAGGCTGGTGGGAGCAAGGGAAAGCAGAAAGAAAATACAGATAAGCTATAAATCTGCGTTTCTTCATAGTCTAGGACACATAGCCCATCTGCGCAAATGACTCACGATCTTCCTGCACCCAGATATCACCAGACCCTCGGTTGATAGAAAAATGCAAGTTAGTTCACAGCCACCTTGACATTATCAATACTGCACTTAGCCCTCTCCAGCACACAGAACAAGCTCCATCCTATAAAATCCCCAGGAAGCCTTTGTCTCCTCCAGTCAGCTCCTCTCTTGCTAACTGGCCTATTGCTTTCTTGCAACATATTTCCATGCTTTTGCTAATAAATCTGCATTTCTGTACCTATGACTGTCTTGGCAAATTCTTTTTACTGCCCGTGCCACTGGCCCCAGACAGTAACCACTCGTGACACAAGGGCATTGACTGGGAAGCTTTACAGAGAGTGAGTCTTCCTGGTGCAGGGGTGGAGGGTAATTTTGAGACTAGCTGATCCCTCACCCTCCCTGGAGGAGTGGGGACTAGTTAGTGACCAGTGGAACTAACTGTGCCATCCTGTAGGACCCCAATCTGAGCTCTCTCTGATTTCGAATCCTCCCATTTCCCACCATGAACCTTTCCTAGGACCAGAGCTTTATTTTTCTGCTTCTCACATTTGGATTCTCGTCTTTTTATCCTTCCCTATTTGCTTATAAAGACTGTCCATGAGCTGGGCCATGTGTACATTTTTCTTGCTTTTTATGGCCTTATCCTGGTTGGACTTCTCCCATCCAGCTGCTTCTTCACCCACCACCAGGTGACTCCTGGTTGAGAGGAGAAATAGGCTGAGCACAGTGGCTTATGCCTATAATCCCAGCACTTTGGGAGGCTGAGGTGGGAGGATTGCAAGAGGCCAAGGGTTTGAGGCCAGCCTGGGCAACAAAGTGAACTTCTGTCTCTACAAAAAATTTTAAAAATTAGCTGGGCACAGTGGCATGCACCTGTAGTCCCAGCAGCTTGAGAGGCTGAGGCAAGAGGATCACTTGAGCCCAGGAGTTCAAGGCTGCAGTGAGCTATGATTGCACCACTGCACTCCAGCGTGGGCAACAGAATGAGACCCTGTCTCAAAAATAAAAATTTTTTAAATTTTAAAATAAAGTGGAAAGAGAAATAACCAGAGCCAGCCTCCCTGGCAGACTGTCTTGCTCGGAGGCTTCCCAGCACTGTCCCGCCATATGGTACATGAGAAGTTCTGTCATTTCAGGTGAAGGGGTGCTGGCACAGAGGGCAGATCTTGTCATCTGTGGCTTTTTTGGCTCCTGGGAAGAAGTGGAACTTATCCCTGCTTGTCTCCATCCCCAGCCTGCCATTCATACCACCAGCTCTGCTGCTCAGGGACAAGTCTCCATGAACAACCATATCGCAGGGACCAGCAGCAGGCTGTCACTCATTAAAACAACAACAACTGCGTCAGACTCTACATCGTTTTTCCTGGAAAGTATCCAGATTATTTCCAGGCTTTTTAAATGAGTCCTATATTTTTTTTCACTGCTGCCAATATACTCTCTTCCATGCATGGCGTACTTGAGCAACAGACATCAGCCTGTCTGCAAGGTCTGAATAACCACCGTAGAGAGATCCTTTGAATGTATGGAACAGATGATCAGCAGTGTCCGTGGGTGACAGCCTTCAAGATTAGTTCTTCCTTCCTCTTTTAAAAGCAATTTTCTTTGAATAGTCTTTCGGTTTCATCCATGCTTCTAATCTAGAATGAAAACTACGTGACTACGTTTTTTCTTTTTCTTTTTGCTTTTGTTTTTTCAGAATCGAGCCATTAAGTTGTTACTTAATCTCAACAAAGGCCGATGACAATGTCTAATATTCTAGGAATGTGCCAAGTCGTCATCTTGGTTTTGTTCCCAGCTGAGGCATTTTACTTAATTCTAATCGTTTTGGGGCAGGAAGACGACAGACAGTTACAAAAGGGAAGACTAAAACACAAAGAGAAAAAACCTTGTTCAAAGTCATACAAATAATTTTTAAAAATAGAAATAGGATTAAAAGCAAGTCTCCTGGCTCCTCATCCACTCCTCCTGTCTGAAAAATACTTTTTCCAGTTGGTTAAACCACATCTCCAGAACCACTTCTCTGTTTGTACTTGTAAGGCAGAATTTTCTAATTCATTTCTGGGAGCTCATTTTGCAGCCTAGGTATTCAGTCTTTGCACACAGATGAGAAACATGTTGGCCGGGTGCAGTGGCTCATGCCTGTAATCCCAGCACTTTGGGAGGCCAGGGTGGGAAGATCGCTTGAGCCCAGGAGTTGGAGACCAGCCTAAGCAATCTAGTGAGACCCTGTCTCTACAAAAAATAAAATAACTAGCTGGGCATGGTGGTGTGTGCCTGTAATCCCAGCTCCTCAGGAAGGAGGCAGGAGGATGACTTGAGCCCAGGAGGAGTTTAAGGCTGCAGGGAGCCATGATGGTGCCGCTGCACCCCAGCCTGGTTGACAGAGCAAGAACCTGTCTCTTAAAAAAAGAAAGAAGGAAAAACATGTCAACTAAGCCTTGCCCTGCATGACGGGCTGTTCAGCTGGGAAGCAGCAAGCCTCCGCACACAGCCCTCTGCTGGTGACCTCCCAGGCCCTCCCAGGCTTCACTTAAACTCTGCTGTTTGAGGTGTGCACAGAAGGAAGTATTCTTGCTATCTTTTGGTTAACTGAGAACTCATCCACGTATTGCCACTCATAGGAATTAGAAAAAACTGGCCAGGCGCGGTGGCTCATGCCTGTAATCCCGGCACTTTGGGAGGCCAAGGCAGGTGGATCACCTGAGGTCAGGAGTTCAAGACCAGCCTGGCCAACATGGTGAAACCCCATCTCTACTAAAAATACAAAAATTGGCTGGGCGTGGTGGCATACACCTGTAATCCCAGCTACTTGGGAGGCTGAGGCAGGAGAATCGCTTGAACCCAGGAGGAGGTTGCACTGAGCCAAGATAGCACCACTGCACTCTAGCCTGAGCAACAGAGCAAGACTCTGTCTGAAAAAAAAAAAAAGAAAGAAAGAAAAGAAAAAAGTAAGCTACGCTGGGCATGCAAACAGTGTTAATGCAGAAGCCACTTTAGGGTCCAGGCACCGAGCCTCCGCTCAGAGCATCAATGCCCACCAGCCCTCAGTGCTGCATGCTCCAGGACGGTGCTTCCCAGAGGTTCTCAGCTGATAGAGCAGCATGTAACCAGTGTGGAAAGATCAACCTAGGCACATTACAATTTTAGAGAGTTTATCCGAGCAGAGGGTGATTCATTAATTGGACAGCACCAAACTGCAAGAGGTTCAGGGCTCCACTGAGGGGGCGTGAGGGGTAAACATTTATAAGGTGTTCTTGGAAGCAAGACAAAGAAAAAATACTTGATCAGTTAAAGTGGAGAGTCTCAGCTGGGCACAGTGGCTCACACCTGTAATCCCAGCACTTTGGGAGGCCGAGGAGGGCGGATCACCTGAGGTCAGGAGCTGGAGACCAGCCTGGCCAACCTGGTGAAACCCCATCTCTATTAAAAATACAAAAATTAGCTGGGTATGGTGGTGCGTGCCTGTAATTCCAGCTACTTAGGAGGCTGAGGCAGGAGAATCGCTTGAACCTGGGAGGCAGAGCTTGCAGTGAGCCGAGATCGTGCCACGGCACTCCAGCCGGGGTGACAGAGCAAGACTCTGTCTCAAAAAAAAAAAAAGGAGAGTCTCTCATTAGAAATTAGCTGGTGATTGGTTAGGCTCACGTTTCATTTTACTGTTGACATTGAGTTGGGTTTAGTTTGCTTAGGTCAGAATCCTAGGCAAAACAGCCATCTCAGCCTCTGGCCACCCAATTGATTATTTTCTAACACCAGCTACAGTAGTATTTCAGAGTTCCTCTTCCAGAGCCCGTGTCCCTCAAGTCTACAGGCCATGCGTCTAGGTCATTCTGAGCTGCGTCCACACTCCCACGGTGACTTTCTGGTCATTCCTGGGGCAGCTTGAGCCATCAGACAGGACTTGCGTATGACAGGCGACCCTGCTCCAGAGGCCTTGAATTGCTGTCTCAGGCAGTGCTGGCTGGCACTTTGCAAACCGTGTACTTTCGTCAGAATTCCCGGGACAAACAAAACACCCGGCTGTTGCTGCTCAGCCTTGATGACGGCATCTGATAAGTGATGAGAGCGTGGCATCATCAGGCTGTTGGTCTTGATTATTCAAGTAGTTGAGTCACAGGCTGCTGTTTTCAGCAGCAAACATTCAAGTACTTACGGCATTTGAAGATGTGTATCTGGCAGCTTTAAGGTGCTGACAATGTGGGGACCTTTCTGAAATAGTCCCACAAGAGAATTCTTGAATGTCTTGAAGAAAGATGACCAGCCTCTTTTGTGAGTGTGCGTTTAGTGTATGTGAAGTTATGGGGAATGGAGGTTACTCATTCTATTTTAACAGACAGGGAAGTGTAAAAGTGAAGATGTGTGGCATCTCTACTCACCAACTCTAATCCTATTGTAGTATCTACCCTGGAAAAATTATCGTGCAAGAGACATGCTCATAACATCATTGTACAAAAGAAAATATTGGAAATAATTCATTGTCCACCAACATGAGAAAGGATAAGTAGAGGGGAACAATGTGATGAAGACAGTAAAAACCCAGAAGTGTCATAGAAATGAAGGGGAGTGCTCAGGTCCAGGGACCAAGGTGGCTGCCCAGCTCAAGAAAGCTTTGAGCCAGGCATGGTGGCTCATGCCTGTAATCCCAGCACTTTGGGAGGCTGAGGCGGGCAGATTATCTGAGGTCAGGAGTTCGAGACCAGCCTAGCCAACATGGTAAAACCCCATCTTTACTAAAAATACAAAACTTAGCTGGGCATGGTGGCATGCTAGTCCCAGCTACTCGGGACGCTGA
Organism: Homo sapiens; assembly: GCF_000001405.40. Taxonomy (NCBI): domain Eukaryota; kingdom Metazoa; phylum Chordata; class Mammalia; order Primates; family Hominidae; genus Homo; species Homo sapiens. The sequence goes on along the minus strand of NC_000001.11, from coordinate 235,629,711 downwards.
AGCAGAAGAATAGCTTGAACCCAGGAGGTGGAGCTTGCAGTGAGCCGAGATCATGCCACTGCACTTCAGCCTGGGCAACAGAGCAAGACTCAATCTTAAAAAAAAAAAAAAGAAAGAAAGAAAAAAGAAAGAAAAATTTGAGAGGCTGGTAGCCTCAGAATGAACCCTTGAAGGAGGGCAGAGATGGCTTTTCACAAGAAGTGTTGGGTGCTGAGTCAAGGAGGGGTAAAGTAGATAAAATAGTGGAAGCAAAAGCATGCGAGTGGAAGAGGCCTAGGTCCCCGAGAGTAAAGGCAACTGCATTGAAATTCTTTAATTTTTCATACCATATGGGAGAAGTTGGGACCAATTTTTTTGCTTCTTGTAATTGCATTTGACATTTCAGAAGAGTTATCCCAACTTGGTATGGTGACTCACACCTGTAATCCCAGCACTTTGGGAGGCCAAGGTGGGAGGATGGCTTGAAGCCAGTTATTTAAGACCAGCCTGGGCAACAAAGCAAGCCCCTGTCTTCATTTTTTTTTTAATTGGCGGGGCATGGTGGCACGTGCCTAGGGTCTCAGCTACCCAGGAGGCTGAAGTGGGAGGATCTCTTGAGCCCAAGAGTTTGAGGCTGTAATGAGCTGTGATTGCACCATTGCACTCCAACCTAGGCAACAGAGTGAGACCCCATCTCTAAAAACAAACAAACAAAAAAGCAAAAAAAAAAAAAAAAAAATTCAAGCAAATGTTTGACTTTATCGCTTCCAAGGAGAACAAGTGCCAGTTTTGTCAGAGAGGAAATGCATGTCCATCTCCTGGGTCCTGCTCAGAACCAAAGGAAGCTGAAGACTCTACAAATGCAAAAGTGAAGGGAATGGCAAACCCTGAGAGAAGCCATACAGAGAAAGGAGGCTGGGCTTCCTGCAGGGAAGCTGTCTTTAAAAAGGGCCACCACCTAGCACCTGCGGATCAAAGTGAATAGGGCTGATGCGAGTCTCAATCCCCATATTCAGATATGCGGGGAAAAGTGACTTTTCTAAATGTTTTAAAACGCAAATCGAAGCATGCATTCTGCCTGTTTGGCCTGCTTGGGTTGCCTCAGTGTTTCCCCAGAACTTACACAGGACCAGGTATCTGTCCACTGGGTGACCCGTAGGACACCATCATCTGGGTGGGGACCCTTTAGGCTGGTTGCTGTTGGTGGTCTTGGGTCCTGCCTGGGGACACAAAACTCTCCACAAGACTGCCCATGACCTCCTCCGCTTCAGGGCACCCAATGGCCATTTTGTTCTAGGGTCTTGTAACCCCCCCCCGTCTCCTAACAAGGCTTTGTGGCCCCCAACCACCCCAGCTTGCAGAGAGGGTCACTCTCCGGTCCTGCAGGCAATGCTCTTCTTCCTCCTGCTTCTGGCCAAGACATTTTCCTCCGATACTCTGAATTCTTTCTCACCTCTGGGGTTTAGGCTTTTGGAAACAAAAGCCAGAAAGACTCTTGGGCCATGTCTGGTTTTTTGTTGTTGTTGTTGTTGTTGTCTTTGTTGTTGTTGTTGAGACAGAGTTTCGCTCTTGTTGCCCAGGCTGGAGTGCGATGGCACAATCTCAGCCCACTGCAACCTCCACCTCCCGGGTTCAAGCCATTCTCCTGCCTCAGCCTCCTGAGTAGCTGGGATTACAGGTGTGTGCCACCACGCCCAGCTAATTTTGTATTTGTAGTAGAGACGGGGTTTCTTCATGTTCGTCGGGCTGGTATCGAACTCCTGACCTCAGGTGATCCTCCCACCTCGGCCTCCCAAAGTGCTGAGATTATAGGCATGAGCCACCACGCCCGGCCCCATATCTGTATTTTAACCCATCACACCCATCCCTTCCTTGAATGGGGAAGTATTGGTTGATATCACAAAATACTATCCAGTCTCATGGTTGAAACTAAGGATCCTGATTTTCCTTTCAAAGAGTTCAGTATACTCCAGTCTTCCTCTCTGATGAAGTTAACATACCCGGAAGCCTTCCAGTTTCCAACAGTGTCCTGGGGAGAGGCCATTGTAAATGGTCTGCAGCACAAGTCTGAAGCACAGATTGACTGCCGCAGCTGGTTCCTGCATGCATCAGTGGTGATCAGAGCTGCCACTTCCTCACAGCCCCCTGTGCCGTACCAGACAGTTTTCCAAACCCTTCACTCACATGATCTCATTTCATCTAAAACTATGTCGGCCAGGTGCGGTGGCTCATGCCTGTAATCCCAGCACTTTGGGAAGCCGAGGCGGGCAGATTACAAGGTCAGGAGTTTGAGACCAGCCTGGCCAATATGGTGAAACCCCATCTCTACTAAAAATACAAAAATTAGCTGGGCATGGTGGCGGACACCTGTAGTCCCAGCTACTCGGGAGGCTGAGGCAGGAGAATTGCTTGAACCCAGAAGGCGGAGGTTGTCGTGAGCTGAGATTGGGCCACTGCACTCCAGCCTGGGAGACAGAGCGAGACTCTGTCTCAAAAAAACAAAAACAAACAAACAAACAAAAAACTATGTCATGGGGTAAGTGCATTTTACCTATTCCACAGGTGTGAAAACCCCAGGCTAGGAGAGATAAGACAGCTTTCAGAAAGTCATGCTGCCAAGTGACAGAGCCTCCCTCAGGTCTGTGAGTAGCGATGGTGCATTTCTCTTCCTCTTGTTTGTCATGAGAAAGTCTCCCAGTCCCAAAGACAGTCTCTAATTTGGGTTCTAAGTTCTTTTTTTTTTTTTTTTTTTTTTTTTTTTTTTTTTTTTTTTTGAGATAGAGTCTCACTCTGTCACCCAGGCTGGAGTGCAGTGATGCAATCTCAGTTCACTGCAAACTCCACCTCCTGGGTTCAAGCCATTCTCCTGCCTCAGCCTCCCAAGTAGCTGGGATTACAGGCATGTGCCACCACGCCCAGCTAATTTTTGTATTTTTAGTAGAGACAGGGTTTCACCATGTTGGCCAGGCTGGTCCCTAACTCCTGACCTCAGGTGATCCGACTGCCTTGGCCTCCCAAAGTGCTGGGATCACAAGCATCAGCCACCGTGCCCGGCCTGGTGTTCTTTATGAAGCTGCTGTCTTGGCAGCAATGGTCACGGAAAAGGTCCTATCAGAGAGTGACGAGTTTGCTCAGTAGACGGTGGGGCTGGACATTAGTGCAGCTGAGGTCTGACCACATCAGCAGGACCAGAATTAGGTGAGAATTTAAAGAGGCACTCGGCCGTGTCTCATCGCACTTGCAAGGCCCTGAGATAGATCACCTCTTTAAATTCTGTGTTCTAGGTCCCTCACTAGCCTCCCTCTAGTCCCAGGCCCTCCCTATGAGCTTTGAAAAGCTTGGGAAAGTCAAGAGAATGAGCAGACAAGTCACAGATTGGGAGAAGACATTTGCAAGACATCTGATAAATGCTGTCACTCAGAATACAAAAGAACTCTTAAAACTCAATAGAAAACAAAACAAAACAAAATCCTATTAAAGATGAGCAAAAGTTTTGAAAAGGCATCTTACCAAAGATACAAAGATGGCATTTGAAGAGAAGCTCAACATCATATGTCATTAGGGAAATGCAAATGAAAAGGAGGAGAAACCACTACACACCATTTAGAATGGCCAAAATCCACAACCCTGAGAATACACAAAGCGGGCCAGGATCTGCAGAAGCAGACACTCTTGTTCATTGCTGTTGGGAATGCAAAATGCAACAGCCACTTTGGAAGACAGTTTGGCAGTTCCTTACAAAACGACACCTCCTCTTCCCATATGCTATAGCAATTGCACTCCTTGGAATTTTCCTGGGTTGAAAACTTATGTTCACACGAAAACCTGCACACAGATGTTTATAGCAGCTTTATTCATAATTGCCCAAACTCGGAAGCAACCAAGATGTTCTTCAGTAGGTGAATGGATAAATAAGCTGTGAAACATCCAGAAAATGGAATAGTATTCAGTACTAAAAAAGAAATGAGCTATCAAGTCATGACACAACATAGAGGAGACTTACATACGTATTGCTGAGTGAAAGAAATCAGTCTGAAAAGGCTACATACTGTGATTCCCACTATATGACATCCTGGAAAAGGCAGAATTATGGAATCAGTATAAAGATCAGTGGTTGCTGTGGTGGAGGCACCTCCTGCTCTGAATGTGGCGTTGGGGAGGGTTGAATAGGTGGAGCAGGAAACTCCTCTGTGTGACACCATAATAGTGAGCACCTGTCATTAGACATCTGTCAAAGCCCATAGAATGTGCAGTGCCAAGAGTGAGCCCTATTGTAAACTATGGACTTTAGGTGATATTGATGTGTCAGTGTTGGGTCATTGATGGTCACAAATGGACCACTCTGGTGCAGGATGTTCATGGGGGAGGCTGCGCCTATTTGGGGACAGGAGTTATGTGGGAACTCTGTACTTTGTGCTCACCTTTGCTATGAACCTAAAACTGCTCTAAAAAATAAAGTTTATTTTTTTTAAATGCCGGGAAGTTTGCAGAAGAAGGCTAGGAAAATGGGGAAGAAAAGTACTGTCCCAGGGCAAGAGGAGAAAGCAAGGGAAAGGGATATCATTCTTGTGGCTTTGTGTGGGTCACAGGGTCGGCCTGCAAAAGACATCAATCTTCGTTCCCTCCCCCAGAGCCCCAGAGCCCCTTTGCCAGGCTGGGGCCCTGACCTGCTTCTTGGAAACCCTTCCTCATCAGCTTGGCAGCTGCCCGCATCCACCAGCACCTCAGTGTGGGTCCTCAGCAGGCTGTGGTTCCTCCTTGAACCTACGTTTGAGGTCAGCGGTTCCCCACGTTCCAGAAAGTCAGCTGTGTGTTGCAGACATTCCCACAAGCTGCAATTTACCAGCAACCATCTTCTCCCAGTGTTCAGGAGCCTGTTTGCAAATAGCACTACTGGCCAAGCAAATAACCAGTTAGCTGAGGAGCTGGGAGAGGAAATGGTAGTGGAGCCAAAGGCAACAAGGAAACCTTCTTTGATCTGTCTTAGCGCTAAAAAAATCTCATAGGAAGCAAATGAAATGAGAAGCAAAATTGCACACAATGTTAAGCAAAACCTTGATACTCTGGAACAAAGACATCCTGTTTTTTAACAAAGTTAATTCTTCAGGAATGTAAAAATGAATGGTTTGCCCGAGGAATGGTTATAGAAAATTCATTCTTCTTGAATAATGCTAGGAGCTGGAATATGACAGCTTTTGTCTTTTCTTCAGTTAAAAAATGAAATGGAAAACTCAAAATTATCATTTTCCTCTAACTGTCACTTTCTACTTTGTAAAAATAGCCTTTCTATTGAAACAATATCATGTCAAAATGGAATTGGCAGCCGGGCACGGGGGCTCACACTTGCAATCTCAACACTTTGGGAGGTTGAGGCGGGTGGGTCACTTGAGGTCAGGAGTTTGAGACCAGCCTGGGCACCATGGTGAAACCCCCATCTCTACTAAAAAAAAAAAAATACAAAAATTAGCCGGGCGTGGTGGTGCGTGGCTGTAATCCCAGCTACTCGGGGGGCTGAGGCAGGAGAATTGCTTGCACCCAGGAGGCAGAGGTTGCAGTGAGCCAAGATCACGCCACTGCACTCCAGCCTGGGTGATACAGCGAGACTCCGTCTCAAAAAAAAAAAAAAAAGGAATTGGCCACACAGACTGAAGTACTAGATGATCTTTGAAGGGACTGCTAGAGCCACGCTCTTCAGGCATGTGCTTTTCACCTGTACTCTGGCCAGGCAAAGGCTCGGAGGACCCTCCGTCTTCGGCTCACAGCATTTAAACATTGTGGAGTTTTTGTGTTATTGTGATTTTTAGATGTCCATTTTGTCTCTTTAGTAGAGAATCAGATAGATAATAGAAATAATCATTCTTCCCTCAGCTTTTTGCAAGCTGGGAATACAGAGATGTGCATGAAAGAGGAGGTCTTTCTCCTACCCCAGCTGCTGGTTGCTGGGGAGACAGCATGATGAGGGGGGCTGCTGTGGCGGAGGCACCCCCCGCTCTGAATTTAAAAGGTGAAAGTGGTCAGGAAAGATCCTCTGGAGGTCAGGAAAGATTCCCTGGAGGTCAGGACAGCTGATGCAAGGTATGGGAGTGGAATAGGTGCTCACCAGACAAGAAAGGAAGAGCGTTCTCAGCAGAGGGAGTGGCATATGGAGAGCCCAGGATGGAGCAAGCCCGCTACAGCCCGTCTCTCCTGCAGACTGCAGCAAAAACGCTGGAAAAATATAAAAAGCAACTCCCTGAGGACTCACGAATCACATAAGAGCATGTGGATTGGGGAGGACAGGCAGAAGCCACGAAGTCACCTGTGTGGATGGGAGTGTCCTTTACATTTGTTTTCTCCTTATTCTTGTGGCTTTGACCTGAGTGGGCCCAAGAGCAGGGCTGCAGCGGTGGCCGTGCAGGTAGCGAATGTTCTGATGGAAACCCCACATGGCTGGCGAGAGGAACTGGGGAAAGGGAACCCTGTGATCCTTTTTTTTCTTTTTCTCCTTTCTCTCACAGCTTTGCCCCAAGAACGGGCCCCAGTTCAGAATTGCACAGTGGTGGCTGCATGCAGGCTAAATCTCCAAGATAAACCCTGTCTTTCTGGTCAGGGAAACAGGAAAAGGTGCCCTTTTGAACTGGAGGGTGTGGCAGAAACCCTGGAGAGGAGAGAGTGTGAGAAGTGGATCATCTCATTCTTTTTTATTTTTTTCTTGAAACAGAGGCTCGCTCTGTTGCCCAGGGTGGAGTGCAGTGGCGCGATCTCAGCTCACTGCAACCTCTGCTTCCCGGGTTCAAGCGATTCTCCTGCCTCAGCCTCCCGAGTAGCTGGGATTACAAGCATGCACCATCACGCCTGGCTATTTTTTTTTTTTTTTTTTGAGATGGAGTCTTACTCTGTCACCAGGCTAGAGTGCAATGGTGCAATCTCGGCTCACTGCAACCTCCACCTCCCAGCAGGTTCAAGCGATTCTTCTGCCTCAGCCTCCTGAGTAGCTGGGGTCCACCACCACACCTGACTAATTTTTGTATTTTTAGTAGAGACGGGGTTTCACCATGTTGGCCAGGCTGGTCTCGAACTCCTGACCTCAGGTGATCGAACTGCTGACCTCAGGTGATCCACCCGCCTCGGCCTCCCAAAGTGCTGGGTGAGCCACCTGACCTCAGGTGAGCCACCGTGCCTGGCCGAATTTTTGTATTTTTAGTAGAGATGGGGTTTCACCATGTTGGCCCAGCTGGTCTCAAACTCCTGGCCTCAAGTGATCTGCCCAACTCAGCCTCCCAAAATGCTGGGATTACAGGTGTGAGCTACCGCGCCCAGCCTCATCTAACTCTTTTTATGAACCACAAAAGTTCCAGCCTCACCCCTTAGCTACACATGCTTAGGACAGAACCAAAGTAACATAGCAAAAGCTTTGAGAACAGAATTAGGATTCATACCACTACTCACGTCTCTTGGAGTTGCAAAGACTAAAAATTAAGCTGAGATCAGAATCTAACCTCACCTAATCTAACAACACACTTCTAAATAGCCCATGGTTCAAAAAGGAAATCAAAAGAGAAATTAGAAAATATTTTGAATTGATATAAAAATGTGTGGGACTCAGTGATTAAAGGGAAATTCATACCATTAAATGCTGATTTTATTTCGTTTCATTTTTATAGAATATAGCTTTATTTATAGAATCTTACAAATCATTTACAGTCCACATAAGTTAATTTTATTTTCTAATTTCTTTTCATAAGAGCTGAGTTATTTTTTAAAACAATGTGCTGGAGGCCAGGTGCGGTGGCTCATGCCTGTAATCCCAGCACTCTGGGAGGCCGAGGTGGGAGGATGGCTTGAACCTTGGAGTTCGAGACCAACCTGAGCAACATGGCAAAACCCCATCTCTACTAAAAATACAAAAATTAGCCAGACATGGTGGTGCACTCCTGTAGTCCCAGCTATTCAGGAGGCTGAGGCAGGAGGCTCACTTAAGCCCAGGAGGTCAAAGCTGCAGTGAGCCGTGATCATGCCACTGCACTCCAGCCTGGGTGACTGAGCAAGACTCTGTCTCCAAAAAAAAAAAGGGTAAAATACTGCAGTGGAATTGCAGAACTGTAAAGGGAAATATGAACAATAAAATCCTCTCACACAAATATCGGACAACTTTTTTTTGCCAGGTGCAGTGGCTCACACCTGTAATCCCAGTATGCTGGGAGACTGAGGTGGGCAGATCACTTGAGTTCAGGAGTTTGAGACCAGCCTGGCCAAAATGGTGAAACCCCATCTCTACTAGAAATACAAAAATAATTAGCCAGGCATGGTGGCGCACACCTGTAGTCCCAGCTACTCAGGAGGCTGAGGTGGGAGGATCGCTTAAACCCAGGAGGCAGAGGCTGCAGTGAGCCAAGATTGAGCCACTGCACTCCAGCCTGGGTGACAGAGCAAGACTCTGTCTCAAAAAAAAAAAAGAAAAGAAAAGAAAAAGAAAAAGAAAAAAAGGAAAGAAAAAAGAAAAATTAAAAAAAAATTAGACTTTTTTTTTTTTTTTGGCTAATCTCCAGCATATTACCATCTCGTCAGAAGAGGGCTTACTAAGACCAGATCTTAGGCAACCCAAACAGAGCCTCCTTTTTTTTAAACCCAAGGTGACGGACCAATGAGGAATAGCCCCCAAAATTGACATTAGACACAAAATACCTGTAGGAGCAAGGACAGGGGCAGCCTGCCTGCCAGTGACTAGGTGAGAAGGAGCAGACACCTGGTGCTGGCTTACTGTTCCTGCATGTGACATGTACTTTCCTTGGTAACATTAACAGGGGCTGGTCCATCCAGAAAGAGGTTGAAGCTACTAATGCCAGGGGTGAAAAGTCTTTAGAACAACTGGCTATTCCTTAGACTTCTAGATGTACAAATGCTTAAAACAGCACATTTGGCCGGGCGCAGTGGCTCACGCCTGTAATCCCAGCACTTTGAGAGGCCGAGGCAGGTGGATCACGAGGTCAGGAGATCTAGACCTTCCTGGCTAACACGGTGAAACCCTGTCTCTACTAAAAATATAAAAACTTAGCTGGGCGTGGTGGCGGGCACCTGTAGTCCCAGCTACATGGGAGGCTGAGGCAGGAGAATGGCATGAACGCGGGAGGCGGAGCTTGCAGTGAGCCGAGATCACGCCACTGCACTCCAGTCTGGGCAATAGAGCGAGACTCCGTCTCAAAAACAAACAAACAAACAAACAAACAAACTGCACATTCAACACCCAGAAGTCCAACTCACCAGGCAAAGCTGTTGCCAACGGCAACTTACAGTCAGGAGATAATATGACTGTCTCCAGCCCCACTAAGTTCCGACTAGGACTGACCTCTGCACCCAAAGAGTTTTGTGTTGTTTTGTTTTGTTTTTTGAAATAGAGTTTCACTCTTGTCGCCCAGGCTGGAGTGCAATGGTGTGATCTCGGCTCACCGCAACCTCCACCTCCCCGGTTCAAGCAATTCTTCTGCCTCAGCCACCCACGTAGCTGGGATTACAGACGTGCACCAACATGCCCGCCTAATTTTTTATATTTTTAATAGAGACAGGGTTTCTCCATGTTGGTCAGGCTGGTCTCGAACTCCCGACCTCAGGTGATCCACCCACCTCAGCCTCCCAAAGCGCTGGGATTACAGGCGTGAGCCACCACGCCCAACCTCCAACGAAAGTTTTAAAAGGATTTCCCTTTGAGGTAGCTGTCTATGAAAGGAAATTTCTTAATATAGCTGTGCACAAAAGAGAAAGCACCCTATTATTTCATATTTTATTTTTCAATTTGTTAAAGGTTATATTTTTGAGCTCCTCTCCTAAACAAGAAACCTGCTAACTCTAACTTAGTACTTTCTTCTCCAAAACAAAGGCTATTATTTTTAAGGTATAAGAAGATCTATAGGGAATGCTAAAATTATACATTTAATACATCGATGTGAGTTAGGGAAAGCAAAATCTTCCAGAGTCATAAACTTTGAGTGTTATTTTCTGGTAGCTCCTGAAAGCAGTTTTAGAAAAATAAAACAGAAAAGATGAAGAACTGTTTTTATAACAATAATAAAGATAATATAAAAAGTTAGATTTCAACATTCAAGGAATTGGTTTTTGGTTAACCTGGACCATAATCCTATCAGGAGTCAGTCCTGATATTTCATCTAGAATCTCAATCACTGAAGTTTTCCTCCCTCTTCAGCCTATTCTCAAATCTATTGAAGTCAACAGGCAAGATAAGGAGAGAAACTTGTAATATCACCAGCAGTTTCCTTGCTCATGCTCTTTTCAAGAATATCCCTGGTTTGAGAGATGTCTCCCAGGAAGGGAAAACAAAACTGATGCTTTTTTGTTTTTTTCCCTGAGACAGTCTTGCTCTGTCACCCAGGCCGGAGTGCAGTGGCGCAATCTTGGCTCACTGCAGCCTCCACCTCCCAGGATCAAGTGATCCTCCCACCTCAGCCCTGCAAGTATTTGGGACTACAGGCCCACACCACCACACCCAGCTAATTAATTTTTGTGTATATATATATGTGTGTGTGTATATATATATATGTGTGTGTGTATATATATGTGTGTGTATATATATATATATATAAATTTTTTTTTTTTTTTTTTTTTTTTAGAGACAGCGTTTGCAATGTTGCCGAGGGTGGTCTTGAACTCCTCAGCCCAAGTGATCCTCCCACCTCAGCCTCCCAAAGTGCTGGGATTACAGGCGTGAACTCACCACACCCAGCTGATGCTGCCTTTAATGACTAAGAGTGGACAGTTTTCTGTCTAAGAAGATGAAAAACTCACTGGCGGCGTGCAGTGGCTCACGCCTATAATCCCAACACTTTGGGAAGCCAAGGTGGGAGGATCACTTGGACTCAGGAGTTCGAGACCAGCCCGGCCAACATGGTGAAACCCCGTCTCTACTAAAAATACAAAAATTAGCCAGGTGGGGTGGCACATGCCTGTAATCCCAGCTACTCAGGAGGCTGAGGCAGGAGAATTGCTTGAACCCAGGAGACAGAGGTTGCAGTGAGCCGAGATCACGCCACTGCACTCCAGCCTCGGTGACAGAGTGAGACTCTGTCTCAAAAAAAAAAAAACAAAAAGATTAAAAATTTAGGCAATGGCAATGAAGCAGTACTCTTGTGAATCATGCACACGAATCAGTTTGTGAACACAGCCCCTGGGCTGCAACTGCAGGCACCACTGAGAAAGGCTTCTGGAGAGTCTGGCTTCCCAAATTGGCTAAAGAAACTCATGTTATCCATGTGATAGTAATAAATCGATTCACACAGTGAGCCCTGCAGATTAGCTTTCCTTGAAGCCAGAGTTCTGAGGCAAGGGATCCAGCGTGCCTGAGGCTGGCCCACGGTTTTACAGACAAGTATATCCGTCCATTTTCTGGGCAGAATCAGAGCAATTCATATTCATATTCAGTTCAACGAAGGATTCCACTTTTTGTGTGTGTGTGAGGGAGGAAGCGGTAACCTACACAGGTGATTGAAAGCCCATCTGTAGCATAATCACTGGGCTGCCATTCTGCAAACATCTGCAGTGCCCCAAACTAAGTTTGTGACCTTACATTTCAGAGACCCCTGTTATTCATGCTTTTATTTATGGAAGTAGCAAATCCTAAATTTTGCTTGCACTGATTCCATTTCTGATTACCCTTGTTTAAGCAGAGCATAAACTGCATTCCAATTCTACCAGTCAGCTTGCCACTGTGCAGATATCTCCACTAGGGGAGGATAGTTTGTGCAGTCTGCCTTCTAACAGAGATGTCTGAAATATGCTCAGAATGTGCTTTTAGGGAGGCAGCTCCCAAGTCTTGTCTTGTCTTTTCTTTTCTTTCTTTTTTTTTTTTTTTTTTTAGATAGAGGCAGAGTCTCACTCTGTCGCCCAGGGTGGAGTGCGGTGGCACAATCTCAGCTCACTGCAACCTCCGCCTCACAGATTCAAGCAATTCTCATGCCTCAGCCTCCCAAATAGCTGGAACTACAGGTGCACACCAACACACCTGGCTAGTTTTTGTATTTTTAGTAGAGATGGGGTTTCACTATGTTGGTCAGGCTGGTCTTGAACTCCTGGCCTCAGGTGATCCACCCACCTCAGCCTCCCAAAGTGCTGGGATTACAGGCGTGAGCCACCGCACCCAGCCTGCAAGTCTCTTAGAAGATAGGAGTGGGGAAGGGAAGTGGGAATCACAGCAAAACATTGTTTCCTTGTAGACTCTCTGACCTTCCATTCTGTCAGTGTTGACCTGAAAGAGGAGGTCCAGGAAGCTACATTACCTCCACATTAGCTCACCTGGACAGCCAGGAAATACCAGGTGCTGCCCCCAAATCAATACCCAGCATTCTGCTAGGAGCAGATGAGCAAAATGACAAGACACAGAGCATCCGTCCCACTTTCTCTCCCACTCCGGATGATCCCTGCCTCCCCTCTCACCCTGTCATCTGTTCTCACTTAGAATTCTCTCTGAGAGAAGTAATAGGCAACTAAGCAGACTTTGAAAAAATAAGAGGGATTCCTGCATCTTCTCTGTAAGAAGAGGTGAACCTGTTTCAAAACTGGCCAGCCGGAGGTCCAGGATGCCCAGCCAATGTCATGGGCCCCAAACTATGGATTCACCTCTTGATATTTCTAACCAAGTTAAAACCACTGGCTGTATTTTTGCATTGTCAGGTAAAGGATTCAAAATCTTTCGGCACTGGGCAGGGCACAGTGGCTCACGCCTGTAATGGCAGCACTTTGGGAGGCTGAGACAGATGGATCACCTGAGGTCAGGAGTTCGAGACCAGCCTGGCCAGCATGGCGAAAACCCATCTCTACTGAAAAAAAAAAAAAAAAAAAAATTAGCCAGGTGTGTTTGTGGGTGCCTGTAATCCCTGCTACTGGGGAGGCTGAGGCAGGAGAATCGCTTGAACCTGGAAGGTGGAGGTTTCAGTGAGCTGACATCGTGCCACTGCACTCCGGCCTGGGTGACAGAGCAAATCTCCATCTCAAAACACGCGCGCACACACACACACACACATCTTTCAGCACTGGTTCCAAGGGAAAGAGGCGAGGGTAATCAGAGAAAAAGGCTTGTCTTGCAAGCTGCATTCAGGTTCCAGAGTCACAGAGAGAAAAGGAGGTGAGGAGAGGGTGAGAGGTACTACCTGGAGACTGGTTACTAGGGACGTTTCTTCCTAGGACAGAGCATTGTAAACACCGCTGACATCTGAAGGCGGGAATACAATCTGTGTAAGTTTTTCATGGAACAACCTCTTCCACGGTGCTTTGTGGATGGCGAGTCCTCAGGCCAGGGATCGGGCAGCCCAGGGCCTGACTTCCCATCCCACAGGCTCCTGGCAGGGCCCTACCCAATCTGGATCTGTCCTGAATATATCACGAGGACCAGCATGACGGTGAATCTGGCCAACAGACCCAGGTTCTGAATGACAAAGGGGATGGAGATGCTGCCCTTCCTCCCATCCTCTTGGCAGACCTCATTCGTCTCAGGGAACATATCAACCACAGCAATATTCAAGAACATTCCTCCAACCAGCACAAAAATTCAGTTGGCAGAGAAGTGGCTGCTGGCCAGGATGCCAAAGGCCAGACCCACATAGCAGCAGGCGGAAGGGGGTTGAAGAAGACAGTGCTGAATGGTCCTCCTAGCGCTAAGCAGGATGACAAAGTCATGTGGGAACTCCTCATGGAAGACGGCCACCAGGTGCCGAGGCCTTGGACCACACAGACGGTGAAAGAGGCGCCAGTGGCCAGGCTGCTGAGGACATTGTGGAGGCTGTTGCTTAGGGTGATCACCCAGGCCAGAGTGCTGATAAAGTAGTGGACACCTTTCAGCTCCAGCAGGCACTCTGGGGAGCCTGCAGAACCAGCACAGAGAGTGAGCCCACCACGACCTTCCCATCCATCATGGACTGCTTGCCATCCAGTTCACTGTGGCAGTGCTGAGGGCTCATGTGGTCCAGGTCCCCATTCTGCAGCTTCTCCATCACCCCCCTCCTCCTGGTGCTTCTTGGAAGGAAGCCTCTCAGAGGCATAATGGCTATGTCTATGTGATGTTCATTTTCCTGTTTGAGAAACATCTTCAAGATCTCTGAAAAATAAAAATAAAAGCCCCCAGACACCACTGCAGACTTGGACACATAATCATCTTCCAGAGGGTTGAAATCAAAAGCCCCAGGAATGAGCTAGGAGAGCACATTGGACTAGAGGATTCCAATCGCCAGAGCTATGACGTGGAGCAGCAGCTTCCTTCTGTAAAAGGCCTTCTTGAAGGCACCACGATGGTGCCCATGAGGGAGCAGAGGGAGATGACAGTCACATAGAGGAGATCGTATCCCCACACTTCAGTTGCACTAGATGGTCATCCCAGCATTGAACAGCATGACAGAGAATCCTTTTTCTTGCCTTATCCAGCTTCTAGAGGCTGCACACTCCCCTTCGCTTGTGGCCCCCTTCCACCTTCAAAGCCAGCAGTGTAGCGTCCTCAGATCTCTCTCTGACTCTGACACTGACTCTTCTGCTCGCCCTTTCACTTACAAGGTCCCTTGTGATAATCCATGGTAATTGGTTCCACCAGGATAATCCATGATAATGGTCACACAGAGGAGACTATATCCCCACACTTCAATTGTGCTCAGCCTCCCCTCTTCGATCTATGCATTCTCTCGTTCTCCTGGTCCACAGAGGTGCGGGCCAGGAATCTAGCTCCTGGAGAATGGCGGCAGAGCTCCTGGAGCTCACTCCTTCCAATCCATGACTGCCACTGAAATTGTGGGCAGCAAAGCAGTCTCCAGAACTAAAGCACATCGAGAGGTTCCTCTGTCCCTGCATGGGCTCAGTGACCTTATCCCACCTCACTCCCAATTCCAGGTAGTTGAGCAGGATGAGGCTGCTCCCAGCCCACTGCCACATCCAGATTCAGCTGCTGAGTTTATCCCACAGGAAAGAGGTAGCACTGACAGCGTGCACGCCTGTGGGTGACGCATGATCCTCAGGAGCAGTTCACCATGCGCTGAGCAGGGCCAGTAGGAGGCAGCTGTGGAAGGCCAGGTACAGCAGCTTCATGGTCACCAAATAAGCCTGACACTCAAGCAGACAGCAGCCACCCCCATGCAGCCTCAGCTGCAGGGCCCCAGGGTTGCTGGCTACGGCAGGAGCAGCTCAGTCCATACGTCTGCACAGGCACCCATCTGCCTGAACCCTGATCCCTGTGTCAGGCAAAAATGTTTATTTTAGAAAAAAAGGAAGGTCTCTCTAATCACTGACCTCAGCTTTTGCTTTAATAAACTAAAGAGAGAGAGAGAGAAATTCAAAAGAAGCAGAGAAAGGAAATAATATAGAATAATAAAGCAGAAATCAGTAAAATTGAGGACAGAAAAAAGAGTCAATGAAACCAAAAGCTGCTTTTGTGAAAAGAGTCATAAAAATAAATCTCTAGCCAGACCATCCAAGAAAAAAAAAATACAAATGACCAATATCAGAAATGAAAGACGGAACATCACTACAGACCTACATACATAAAAAGGATATTACAAAGAATGTTATGGCCATAAATTCAGCAGCTGAAATGAAATGGATAAATTCTATGGAAAACACAAACAACCAAAGATCACACAGAAGAAATGGAGAATCTAGGCCAGGCGCAGCGGCTCACGCCTGTAATTCCAACACTTTGGAAGGCTGAGGCAGGCAGATCACTTGAGCTCAGGATTTTGACACCAGCCTGGGTAATATGATGAAGCCCGTCTCTACAATAAATACAAAAATTAGCCAGTCGTGGTGACTCACACCTGTGGTCCCAGCTACTCAGGAGGCTGAGGTGGGAGGATCACTTGAACCCAGGAGGTGAAGATTGCCAGCCTTATATGTCAGGACTGCTTGAAAGGTTCACACACCCTCTTCCTCTGCTGCATGAGAACCCAACCTTGGCAACTACCTAGCTCTGTTACCCTGTATTGCTGCCGTAGCAAGTTACCACATGCTTAGTGACTTAACACCAGTTTATTATATTACAGTTCTAGAGGTCAGAAGTCCAAAATGAATCTCAGTAGGGTAAAACCAAGCTGTTGGCAGAGCTGTGTTTCTTCAGGAAACACCAGGAGAAAATCCTTCTTGCCTTTTCCAGCTTCTAGAGGCTGGACACTTCCCTTCACTTGTGGCCCCCTTCCACCTTCAAAGCCAGCAGTGTAGCATCTTCATCTCTCTCTCTGACTGACACCGACTCTCCTGCCTCACTCTTTCACTTACAAGGCCCCTTGTGATTGCATAGGGTCCACTAGGATAATCCATGATAACCTGCCTGTCTTAAGGTCAGCTAGTTAGCAACCTTAGTTAATTGCATCTGCAACCTAAAACCCCCATTATCATGTTCACAGGTTCTGGGGAGTAGGACACAGATAACTTTGGGAAGCCATTATTCTGCCTGCCTCACCCTGTAAACCAGTTAAGATGCTATATGTCAACTACATTGCCAGGCAACATTGCTTATGGTAAAAATGGCCCCTGACTGGTGAATTACATATGGACTGGGAGTAGCTAGGAATGGAATTTAAATATCTGATGTAGACGCCATGCTTTGAACTTCTCAGCATTTTGGTGACTGCTATGGTCTGAATGTTTGTGACCCCCCCACCCCTCCAAAAAAAATTCTGTGTTGAAATCTAATCCCCAGTGCAGTAGTACTGGGGCTTTAGGAGGTGATTAGATCATGGGGGCAGAGCCCTCATGAATTGGACTTGTGCCCTTATAAAAGAAGCCTGAGGAGCCTGTTTGCCCCTTCCCTCATGTGAGGACACAGTGAGAGGTGAACAGTCTGCCGCCCAGAAAAGGGCCCTTGTCACAACCTGACCATGCTGGCACCCTGAGCCTGAATTTCTAAGCTCAGGGAACTGTGAGAATAAATTTTGTAGTTTAAAAGCTACCCAGGACGGGCATGATGGCTCATGCCTGTGATCCCAGCACTTTGGGAGGCCAAGGCGGGTGGATCACTTGAGCCCAGGTGTTCAAGACCAGCCTGGGTAACATAGCGAAACCCCATCTTTACTAAAAATACAAAACTTAGCCAGGCGTAGTGGCGTGCACCTGTAGTTCCAGATACTTGGGAGGCTGGGGCAGGAGGATCACTTGAGCCTGGGATGTCAAGGCTGCAATGAGTCATGATCGTACCACTGCACTCCAGCCTGGGTGACAGTGAGACCCCGTCTCCAAAAAACCTACCCAATTTATGGTATTTTGTTATAGCAGCCCAGGTGAACCAAGACAGTGACGCTTGTGAAAGTCACGTCCCCGAGATACTGCCCTGTGGTGCGCATCTTCCCACGCAGACCCTGCACCTCCCTGTGAAGGCCCCGTCTGTTTGCACCATGACCATCACATGGGGCTAAGATAACTCCTGGATGTTACATACTCTGCTGTGAGAAATTCTCCAGGACTCCTCACACAAGGCAGCCTGGCATTGTTCTGCTGGCAGGCCAGGGCCTCTGTCCCCATCCTTCTGAATAGATCGGAGCACGTTCTGTCATCGTCTTGTGAGTCTGAATGTCTAGTCAATCTTCGACGTTGTCCTGGGCTAAAGAGGGGCTGTCTTCCATCTGATAACCAATGAGGAGCCAACCCTTATATTTGTAAGTACTTCGTTTTCTTTTTCTTTCTCCTCTTTTTTTTTTTTTTTTTTTTTTTTTTGTGAGACAAAGTCTCACTCTGTCGCCCAGGCTGGAGTGCAGTGGCACAATCTCAGCTCATTGTAACCTCAACCTCCCAGGCTCAAGCAATTCTCATGCCTCAGCCTCCTGAGTATCTGGGACTACAAGCATGTGCCACCATACCTGGCCAATTTTATTTATTTTTTGTAGAGATGAGGTCGTACTATGTTGCCTCGGCTGTTCTTGAACTCCTGGACTCAAGCGATCCTCCCGCCTCGACCTCCCAAAGACTGGGATTACAGGCAAGAGCCACCACACCTGGCCAATACTTCATCATATATACTGGCAATGCTCAGGCAACCCTGTTAACAGTCGAAACTGAGACCCACAATGGTTGGTAATTTGCCCAAATTTGCCCAGAAAGTTAGTGGGCTCTTTCCCCCTTCTCAAATATGCTAAAAAACAACCCACCTGCTTGGCAACATTGTCTAATGCGAAGTTGGGATTAGTGCCCAGTTCTTCAAAAGATCTTTATGGACCCTAAGTCACAGATATACATCCAACCAATGGTCAAATCTACTCACTGACTTCCTGCTGGTGCTGGGCACTACATATTCAAGAATCTCGGTCCAGGGAGGACGCAATGGCCCACATGTATAATCCCAGCACATTGGTAGGCAAAGTGGGAGGACTGCTTGAGCCCAGGAGTTCCAGACCATCCAGGGCAACATGGCAAGACCCTGTCCTACAAAAAGTAAAAAATAATAAAAATTAGTCCAGCATGGTGGCACACACCTGTAGTCTCAGCTACTCAGGTGGCTGAGGTGGGAGGATCACTTAAGCCCAGGAAGTTGAGGCTGCAGTGAGCCATGATGGTACCACTTCACTCCAGCCTGGGTGACGGAGTGAAACCCTGTTTCAAAAAAAAAAAAAAGAGAGAGAGAGAGAATCTCTGCCCTGTGGGTAACTACATTTTATCTCTTTTGCAGTGCTTCTTTTTATTTTTTATTTTTTCTTTGAGATGAAGTCTCGCTCTGCCGCCCAGGCTGGATTGCAGTGGCACTATTTCAGCTCACTGCAAACTCCGCCTCCTGGGTTGAAGTGATTCTCCTGCCTCAGCCTCCTGCGTAGCTGGGACTACAGGCATGGGCCACCACGCCTGGCAAATTTTTGTATTTTTTTCAGTAGAGATGGGGTTTCACCATGTTAGCCAGGCTGGTCTTGAACTCCTGACCTCAGGTGATCCGCCCTCCTCAGCCTCCCAAAGTGTTGGGATTACAGGAGTGAGCCACCACGCCCAGCCTCTTGCAGTGCTTTTTTTTATCTTGACAGAGACACATGGCCAGGGTGAGAGAAAGAGGAAATCAGCAGTTTGGTAGGAATTTGAAACAGGAGCCTTTTTCTAGCACCTTGAATAGGCAATGGTAGGAAAGTCAGAAATTAATCAAAAATGATAAAGACATTCGAGAAAGACACAGGAACCAGCTTGAAGGGGCTCCCACTGGCCAAATCCAGGACAATTTATACATCAAAATAAATACTGATAGTAATGAATTGTAGCCTACTGAATAAAACAGAAAACCCTGAGTGCCTCCTAATAGCAGCCAATAATTGAATATATTGAAAGTTTGATAAGGAACAAGTTTAGACAGTTTCAAGGTATCTTTCCACAAATTCTTATTCATTACAAAAATAAAAAGTAACTACAGTGAAGAAACTTGGCAGACACCACCTTAATCACGTGATGACAACGAACATCATTAATGGGACAAGGTGACATCTTGGGCTACTGGATAGGATGCAATGAGAAGAATGCAGTTTGTCTTCTGTGATGTTCCTGGCAAAGGATAACACCTGCATCTTATGAGGAGACAGAAAAGAAGCCCGAATTGAGGGGTGTTCTACAAAATAACGGCCGCTATCTTGGAAAGTGCTGTGGGTCGTCAAAGTCAAGGAAGGGCTGAGGGGTTAAAGAGGCATAAGAACTCCATGTGGCGTGTGATTCTCAGCTGAATTTACTACCGTGCAGGGCATTACTGGTGCATTTGATGAAATCTGAATAGCGTTAGAGGATTAGATGATGGTAACGTATCAATAATAGTTTCCTAACTTTGATGGCTCTATCATGTCTTTCTGTGTAGGAAATAAGAAGTATTCAGGGCTGACAGGCAGTTAGGTTGACATCTCCCATTCAAGTGGTTCAAGAAACTTTTTTTTTCTTTTCTTTTTTTGAGACAGGGTCTCGCTCTGTCATTCAGGCTGGTGTGCAATGACGTGATCTCAGCTCACTGTAGCCTCAGCCTCCCGAGTAGCTGGGACTACAAGTGTGTGCCACCACACCCGGCTAATTTTTTTTGTAGAGATGGGGTTTCACCATGTTGTCCAGGCTAGTCTCGAACTCCTGAGCTCAAGTGATCTGCCTGCCTTGGCCTCTCAAAGTGCTAGGATTACAGGTGTGAGCCACTGCGCCCGGCCAGGAAACTTTTCTTTATGCTATACTTGCAACCTTTCTGAAAACTTGAATTGTTACAAAATTCAAAATATTTAATGTTAAGACTTTTTTTTTAAAGTAAATGATGCCAACAAGCATATGAAAAGATGCTCCACATCATTAGTCATTAGGCAAATGCGAATCACAACCAAGAGAGGGTACCACTTCACACCCACGAGGATGGCTATAACCCAAAAAGTGGAAAATAACATATGTTGGCAAGGATGTGAAGAAATTGGAGCTATTGCTGATGAGAATGTAAAATGGTTCAAAATAGGTACTCAAATACATGTTCGTGGCAGCATTATTCACAATAGCCAAAAGATGGAAACAGCCCAAATGTCTATCAGCAGATGGGCCGATAAACTAAATGTGGTGCACCTGCATCATGGAATACTCTTCAGCCATAAAAGGGAATGAAATACTGATACATGCTACAACATGCATGAATCCTGAAAACATTACACTAAGTGAAAAAAGCTGGCCAGGTGCGGTGGCTCATGCCTACAATCCCAGCACTTTGGGAGGCCAAGGTAAGAAGATCGCTTGGAGCCAGGTGTTTGAGACAAGCCTAGACAGCAATGTGAGACCCCTGTCTCTATTTAACAACAACAACAAAAAAAAATTGAGGAGCCAGACACAGTGGCTCATACCTGTAATCCCAGCACTTTAGGAGGCCGAGGCGGGTGGATCACCTCAGCTCAGGAGCTCCAGATCAGCCTGGCCAACATGGCAAAACCCCGTCTCTACTAAAAACACAAAAATTAGCTGGGCGTGATGGTGGGCACCTGTAATCCCAGCTACTCAGGAGGCTGAGGCAGGAGGATTACTTCAACTCGGGAGGCGGAGGTTGCAGTGAGCCGAGATTGCACCACTGCACTTCAGCCTGGGTGACAGAGTGAGACTCCGTCTCAAAAAAAAAAAAAATAAAAAATAAAAAACTAAGTAAAAAAGAAAACAAAGGAAGAATCCAGTCACAAAAGACTGCATATTTTGTGATTTTATTTATGTGAAATGTCCAGAATGGGTAAATCTGTAGAGACAGAAAGCAGACTGTTGGTTGCCAGGATCTGGGAGGAGCGGGAAGTGAAGAGAACTGCTTAATGGAGAACTGCTTAATGGAATGAGGTTTTATTCTGAAGGTGTGGACGTGCTTTGGAACTAAATAGTGTTGGTGGTTGCACAACATTGTGGATGTACTAAACGTCACTGAGTTGCTCATTTTAAAATGATTAATTTTATTGTAAGTGAATTGAACCTCAATACTTTTTTAATTCAAGCATTTCAATGTGAATTTGGTATTTTTTTAAAAAGGAAATGGTAAGTGATAAAACATAGTTGGCAGCAGCTGGCAGCAGCCTTTAGAAACAGCATTTCCTGGCCAGGTGCAGTGGCTCACACCTGTAATCCCAGCACTTTGGGAGGCCGAGGTGGGTGGATCATGAGGTCAGGAGTTCGAGACCATCCTGGCCAACAAGGTCAAACCGTGTCTTTACTAAAAATACAAAAATTAGCTGGGCATGGTGGCGTGCGCCTGTAGTCCCAGCAACTCAGGAGGCTCAGGAAGGAGAATGGCCTGAGCCTGGGAGGCAGAGGTTGCAGTGAGCCAAGATCACGCCACCGCACTCCAGCCTGGGTGACAGAGCGAGATTCCATCTCAAAAAAAAAAAAAAAAAATAGAAACAGCATTTCCTGTAGCTGGTCCCAGAGGATGGAGTCACCTCATCTTTCTTGGACAGCCTCAAAGTCCCACATCAGAATGGACTAAAGTGAGGGGAGGGGGCTGGGCCCTGTGCTGGGCAGGAGACACCCTCCCGGAGAGAGGCAGGGAGGGTGGCCTCATGACTTCTGCTCTTGTGGCTTTGCTCTGAAGTAGGAGGCTGCACCCTAACCCTAGCAAGAATACTGAAAAGCCGTGCCGATGGGATGGCATGAAAGGGAGTCAGGCTGGGCGGCGTGGATGGATGAACTGCTGCGAACTCATTCTCCCTGATCAAAGCGCGTGACCCACTAAATTCACACTGGTGGTTTTCTACTACAGAGTCTGTGAAGTACAATGCATTTGCTTCAGATAATTCACAGAACCACTTGTCTGCATGCTTTCCGCTGTAGGCGGCTGCCTCCCGAGAGTAGGCCCCACGGTGCACCCAGTGGCGATGGCCAGCAACCTCATTGAACAACACACTGTCCATCCGTGCTGTGTAATCTGATGTTGGTGGTGACACCATAGCTCATCTGTCACTTCTCCATTTAGCACCATTTCAATATTTGGTCTGGAAAGAATAATTAGTTTTATTGGCACTAAGTAATCTTTTACCTCCACAAATCTGAAAAGTACAGATTGAAGAACATAGAAAGAAACCTTCAGGGCTGGGTGCGATGGTTCATACCTGTCATCCCAGCACTGTGGGAGGCCAAGGCGGGGGGATCATTTGAGGTCAGGAGTTCAAGACCAGCCTGGCCAACATAGTGAAACCCCATTTCTACTAAAAATAAAAATAAAAAAAAATTAGCTGGGTGTGGTGGTGCGCACCTGTAATCCCAGCTACTCATGAGGCTGAGGCAGGAGAATTGCTTCAACCCAGAAGGCGGAGGTTGCAGTGAGCTGAGATCACACGACTGCACTCCAGCCTGGGTGAGACTCTGTCTCAAAAAAAAAAAAAAAAAAAAGGAAAGAAAGGAAGGAGGGAGGGAGGGAAGGAAGGAAGGAAGCTAGCTACTGGAGAAGTGAGCATGCGGCTTCCTTCCTCTGCTCGCCCCCCCATGCTGCTTTGGGCCAAAGGCTCTGCACGCAGCCCAGCCTTCTGACCCATGCTCCCCCTGGCCCATGAGCCTCCCACAGCCAGGACTTCCCCTGCCCCTACAAGTCATGAGTTGCTCAGCTCCGTCTTCAGCCCAAACTCCCTGTGAATTCCATCTCTATCAGTCCTCCTGTCTGCTGGCCATGTGCTTCTCAGTTTCCCAAAGGCCTCCTAAGTTCAGCCTGGCCCTATGTGAACTCTGCACCCCATTCCACTTGCTCTTTTCCTAAGCGTGCGGAACAGCACAGCACCATCTCCCTGGTGGTCAGCCCAGATATGCCTTCCTTTCCCCCCTCCCCAGCATCCAGATCCTAACCACATCCCCTGGCTCTTCCACCCTCACCACCTGGCTCTCCACCCCGTCTCCCTACCAGAGCCAGTATCTAGACTCCCATGGTTTCCTCATTGGTCTGTTTGATTTTTCTTTTTTTTAAGACGGAGTCTTGCTCTGTCGCCCAGGCTGAAGTTCAGTGGCACGATCTCAGCTCACTGCAACCTCTGCCTCCTGGGTTCAAGCGATTCTCCTTCCTCAGCCTCCCGAGTAGCTGGGGTTACAGGTGCATGCCACCATGCCTGGCTAATTTTTTGTATTTTTTAATAGAGATGGGGTTTCACTATGTTCAGGCCAGGCTGGTCTCGAACTCCTGACTTCATGATCCGCCCACCTCGGTCTGCTTGTTTATCTTGTTCACCTCTGATCCATTCTCCACACTAGGTTGAAGTGACCTTTCTAGAATGTAACAGCAGAGCATGGTGGTACGCCTATAATCCCAGCTACTTGGGAGGCTGAGGCCAGAGGATCACTTAAGCCCAAGAGTGCAAGACCAGCCTGGGCAACACAGTGAGACCCACCCCCCCACACTCTCAATCAAAAAAATAAAATGTAACAGCAATCTTTTTACTTCTCTGTTAAATAACCCTTCATTTGATGACACCTGCCTACATGATACCAGTCCCACACTCTTAGTGTGGCACTCAAGGCCCTTCCTGGTCTGCTCCCTGACCTCCTGGGCTTCAGGAATAAGGGACCACCCAGGGTTTCCTGAAAGTGCCAGGCTGGTTCTCAGTTGCTCCGTCTTTACCCATGCTGCAACACCACACTTGCATGGGACTTCTGCCTGGAACTCCCCCTCTCTGATCACAGTGCCTAGTGGGTCCCATTCATCTTCCTAGGCTCAAATTGAGTATAAAGCCCTTCCTAACCTTCTCCTTACCTGAATCGATCATCTCCTTCTTGGCCCCTCTACCCTTTACTGACCTCTGTGGTAGCACCTTGATTTGATTGTTGAGTTTGCTGCTGTTAGTTTTGTCTCCACATAAATAGAAGGCAGGAATCACGGGCCAGGCACGGTGGCTCACACCTGTAATCTCAGCACTTTGGGAGGCCAAGGCGGGCGGACCACCTGAGGTCCAGAGTTCGAGACCAGCCTAGCCATCTCGACTAAAAATACAAATATTAGCTGGGCGTGGTGGCGCATGCCTGTAATCCTAGCTACTTGGGAGGCTAAGGCAAGAGAATCGCTTGAACCTGGGAGGCGGAGGTTGTAGTGAGCCGGGATCGTGCCGCTGCACTCCAGCCTGGGCAACACAGTGAGACTCCATTTAAAAAAAAAAAAAAGGCAGGAATCATATTCCACCTCCACCCACTTCCTCATTTCTTCAGTGAGATGCCTGACATAGTATGTGTTTAATGAATGAATGAATGATATGGGGTTCTCACCTTATTTTTGCTGCTTATTAGCTATTTAATGGCTTTGGACAAATGACTTAGCTGGCCGGATCTCAATTTTCTCATTTTACAAGTGAAAAAAATTGAGGTGAGTATAGGTTATAAATTCTGCTTCTCAGTTCATGCTCCCATCACCCTGAGATACATTCCTCTCCCACAGCCATGAAACGCCATACAATTGTCAGAGAGGCGTTTCTTGTAGGTATTACAAAGAACAACAACAACAAAATCTGATTCTTTGTAGTAGTGAGCACAGACTTGTGGCCACATTTCTGGGTTCCTGACTATACTGAGTTCAGAGTTTACCCCCAGAATTCATATATATCCAGAACTTCAGAATATGACTTTATTTGGAAAGTGGGTCTTTGCAAATATGATTAAGTTGAGGTCATACTGGATTAAAGTGGGACCTAAGACCAATGGCTGGTATCTTTATAAGGAGCGAAGATGACACGGTGAGACACAGAGAAGTGGGTTATGTGAAGATGGGGGCAGAGATTGGAGTGATGTCTACAAATCAAGGATTGAATGTCAAGTGTTATCAGAGGTCACCAGATGATAGGAAAAGATGAGGAAGAAGGATTTTCTCCTGGGGCCTTCAGAGGGAGCGTGACCCTGCCAACACCTTGATTTTGGACTTCCAGCCTCCGGAGCTGTGAGAGAATAAATTTTTGTTGCTTAGAACCACACGGTTTGTAGTAATTTGTTCCCACAGCTCTAGGAAGCTGAGACGTGGCCCAGCCACGCCATCGCTCAACTACCTTTTCGTCCCCCGTGTGGTGATCTGCCCACTTCAGTAGAGCTGCGATAGACTCGAATGACAATGAATTCATTCTAGACTGTAAGGTTTATAGACTGTACAAACACACCAGACACAGGTTTGTGTTCCTCCATACGTGCCGGTCAACACCGTGGTCCAGTTTGAGTAACTTGAATAACCCAGCAGTCAGAAAGAATTAACATCACAGTCAGTAAGGGCTGATGTAAGAGCCTCAGGCCACGAGTAAACTTCTAACATCTTCTCCTGTTGATTAAGAGTTTTGATTTCTACCTGCAAGGCCGAAGCAATGGTCAGGGAGTGTCTGGGTGGCCAGCTAGGTGAGGGAGTGGATAGCGTGAAGGGTCCCACGGAAGGTGGATCTAGTTTCTCTTTCTGTTGTTTATTCTGCACTAATTTGTCAAATGTTCTTAAGTATAACCGCTGGTCTGCCAACCTTCTCTAATTTTCTTGACCTTAATAAGGACCAGATAAGGTGACAGGTGACCAGCAGGCCCCAGCGTCGTTCGGACCCCGCGTGCTCTTCCTAAGAAACTGTGGTTGTCTCTCAAGTCCATTACAACCCATGCCCTGCCCAAAGCTTCGAATCCCTGGACTTGTTTAGCATCTGTGTGATTAGGTGTTATTAGACCAGCTGGATGCTATCGGGCACTCAAGATGTAAGTTGAGTAATTGAGACCCATACTGTAAAATGTATCAAGCTTGCCTATCACAGTACTTAATTTGCAAAGTGGTTGAAGTCGGAGTGGGGAAGAGTCATCCCCCTGCGAGGGGGACGGTGTTCCTACTGCAAACGTAGAGCCCTGGGTGTCTGGGTGGGAGGGCACCTCGTTCCCTGCACTCCCTTCAGGGGTCAGGACATTCAGCTCCAGCCTAGGATGACTGAGAAACAGCAGAATTGATCATGTGGTGCTAAAATGCCACCTTACACATCCACGTGTACAGATAGAAAGGCTGTGCCCTTTGCTGCCACAGCGATTATGACATCCAGGTGAATTAGGACTTCCCCTGCCTTTTATTATTATTATTATTATTATTATTATTAATTATTATTATCATTATTGAGATAGAGTCTTGCTCTGTTGTCCAGGCTGGAGTGCAAGTGGCGCGATCTCTGCTCACTGCAACCTCCACCTCCCAGACTCATGCGATTCTCCTGCCTTAGCCTCCCAAGTAGCTGGGACTTCAGGCACCTGCCACCACACCTGGCTAATTTTTGTATTTTTAGTAAAGACAGGGTTTCACTATGTTGGCCAGGCTGATCTGGAACTCCTGACTTCAACTGATTTGCCCACCTCCCAAAGTGCTGGGATTACAGGTGTGAGCAACCGCACCCGGCCCTCCCCTCCCTTTTAGATCCCTGTGTGGAAGCGAACGTGACCTCTATTCTTGAGGGAATGCCAAGATGTCAACTCAGTTAGTGAAATTCTTGTGACAATTCAAAGCCAATTTTTCTTACAGCTGAAAGGGGGGAATCTTAATGCTCACGATGAACGCTAGGAGAACCCAGCCTGAATGTTGGTGCAAAAGCAGTGCTATCTGGTGGGCCTAGCATCTAACAGAATTTTAGGGTAAAATGTTAGACCCTAGAAATAAACACAGTTTCACTAGGTGGAATCCTTGTTAGACCTGAGTGCCTCATTGTATTGAGTTTCCCAAATACAAGCTCTTAAATGAGTACTTCTGTCTCAGGTTTAAAAGCATTTTCAAGGCAGCCATCCAGTATACTAACCTCTGTTGAAATACTGTATCGGTTAGTGAGATGCAAAGCTGCTGTGACCAAGAGACGCAGAAACACGGTGACTTAAAGAGTGTGGAAATGTATTTCACTTTCTCATATGAGCCCAGAAGTAAGAAGCCAGGCTAACGGGGCCGCTCAGCTCCAGGGGGAATTTGGGGACGTGGGCTCTTTCCGTTTTGTTTCTCTCTCGTCCCCCAGGACTGTGCTTCTCAGATTGTCTTGAGCATCAGAACCACCTGGAGGCCTTGTTAAGCACTTTCCCACGCCCAGAGCTTCTTTTTTGTTGTTGTTGTTGAGATCGGGTCTCGCTCTGTGGACCAGGCTGGAGTGCAATGGCGCGATCTCAGCTCACTGCAACCTCCGCCTCCTGGGTTCAAGTGATTCTCCTGCCTCAGCCTCTTCAGTAGCTGGAATTATAGGCACCTGCCACCATGCCTGGCTAATTTTTGTATTTTTAGTAGAGACGGGGTTTCACTATGTTGGCCAGGCTGGTCTCAAACTTCTGACCTCAGGTGATCCACCCGCCTCGGCCTCCCAAAGTGCTGGGATTACAGGCGTGAGCCACTGTGCCTGGCCCCAGAGCTTCTATTTTGGTAGGTCTGAGTGGGCCCAAGCATTTGCATTTCTGACACGTTCCCAGGGGACATTGATGCCTCCGGTCCAGGGACCACACCTGGAGGCACCACTCAGGCCACTGTCCTCGCCTGCCCTTGTTGAACTTAAGCTGTAGACACATCCACGTGTGATGGGAAAGAGCTCAGAGGTCCCCAAATGATATCTGAAAGCCCAGGCCTGGAAGCGGCACCCATCATTTCCACTCATTCATCGTCGGCATCTCCATTGGCAAGACGTGAGTCACAAAGCCACACGTAGCTGCAAGCGACCCTGGGGAATATCTATCCAGGGGCCACCTGCCCTGTCACCATGACATTCCTGTGAGAGGAAGGGGAGCATGGGTTCTGTGGACAGCCAGCCCACATACACCCATGACAATATGATCATTGCTTATTTATACATCTCTCCCTCAGCACCTGAGCTCTTTGAGGGCGGGCAAGTCTCATTCCATCTTACGGCTTCAGAATCTATCATAGAAAGCAATGTAGATGCTAAAGTCCAGGTCAAGTTCTTTGGTTATACACTGAGAGCCGGGCGCCTCCCTCATAAGAATATTCATGGATCAGCATGGTGATTCCAGCAGTCCATGGCGCCCCTCACCAGGCAGTAAGCTCTGTGAGAGCAGAGACCTCACACCTGTGCCTCAAAGCCGAGCACCACTAGGGGGCTCCTCTTTTAGATGATTTAATTAATTCTAGTAGCCACATCTTTCATCCATTGCTTGGAATGTATTTCAGATGTCAGCCCACCAGCCTATCCCATACCCTAACAAGGGGTTTTAGACACCTTCCCTGTATCATCACTGTTTCTCAAAGTAAGGAAGTTGTTGGAGCCATCAGTACATCTGCATGACTCTGGGTCATTACCCTTCACAACCCAGAGTTAATTTAGCTCCATTTAAGAACTGAAACAGCAGCAGCCATGGGGAATTAAAGTCTCTGTTGAAGCCTCAGTTTATTCTTTCATGCACACCAGAGTCACGTTCATAGGGACTGGCTACGGCGTGCCCGCCCTATCTTGGCAATGGGGGCACAGAAGCTAAAAAAAACAAGGCCTCTGCCCTTGAGGGGCTCCCAGTTAGCTCATGGCCAGCCAGTGGGCCTTCCCACTACCTCACAATGAAACACAGCAATTTTTTCAAAGATGAATATATTTTCTTCTTTTGAGAGGGAAGAAAAGCTTTTGAAAACATCATGGTAAAATTTAGTGCTATTAAAAAGCAGCTTTCAGCCAGGAGTGGTGGCTCATGCCTGTAATCCCAATGCTTTGGGATGCCAAGGTGGGAGGATCCTTTGAGCCAGGAGTTCAAAACCGGCCTGGGCAATACAGTGAGATCCTGTCTGTACAAAAAGTTTAAAAATTAGCTGGGTGTAGTCCTAACTACTCCAGACGCTGAGGTTGGAGGATCACTTGAGCCCAGGAGATTAAGGCTGCAGTGAGCTATGATTGCACCACTGCACTCCGGCCTGGGTGACAGAGCAAGACCCTCTCTCTTACACACACACACATATACACACACACACACACACACACAAAAGCCAGGCGCCATGGCTCACGCCTGTAATCCCAACGCTTTGGGAGGCCAAGGTGGGCAGATCACTTGAGGTCAGGGGTTCAAGACCAGCCTGGCCAATATGTTGAAACTCCATATCTACTAAAAATATAAAAATTAGCTGGGCATGGTGGCACATGCCTGTAATCCCAGCTACTCGAGTGACTGAGGCAGGACAATTTCTTGAACCCAGGAGGTGGAGGTTGTGGTGTGCCAAGATCGTGCCACTGTACTCCAGCCTGGGCGACAGAGTGAGACTCTGCCTGTCTAAAAAAAAAAAAAAAAAAAAAAAAAAAAAGCTTTCTTCCGCAACCAGATAAAGGAATCCAGTCAAGAGCTAAATTCCCATCAGCTCCAACAATCTGTGTTATTTTGAGAAATAGCAATGATACAGGGAAGGTGTCTAAAATCACTTCCTGGGGTAGGCTGGTGGGTTGACATCTGAAATACATTTCAAGCGTTGGATGGAAGATGCTATGCAAATGCCAGGAGGACAAGGAGAAATTGATAGTGTCTTTTCTGATGTGTGGCCTCTCAAAGAGCTTCTAGAGTTAGTAAGTTATCTAAAAGAGGAATCTAAAAAGCTGATGGGGCTGTGAATAACATTAAGGGTCAGGAGAACAGCACCTCTGCTGTCCACCACTGTTATGACTGACCCACGTGTCTTCAGCCAGGCTCTTCATCTTGGACCCTGCATAAGGCAGGACTGGGCCCTGCTGGTCTAGCTCAGAACTTTTCAAACTCTAACGTAAACCTGAATCACCTGGGTTAAAACGCAGATTCGGCTGGGTGCAATGCCTCACACATGTAACCCCAGCACTTTGGGAGGCCAAGGTGGGCGGATCACTTGAGGTCAGAGTTTGTTATCAGCCTGGCCAACATGGTGAAACCCCGTCTCTACTAAAAATGCAAAAATTAGCCAGGCGTGTTGGCTCGCGCCTGTAATCCCAGCTACTCGGGAGGCTGAGGCAGGAGACTCGCTTGAACCCGGGAGGCGGCGGTTGCAGTGAACCAAGATCGCGTCACTGCACTCCAGCCTAGGCAACAAAGCGAGACTCTGTCTCAAAAAAAAAAAAAACAAACCAAAAAACAAACAACGACAACAAAAAAACCCGCAGATTTGACTTCGTAGGTTTGGGTAGGACCTGAGATTCTGCATTGCTAACGAGCTCCAGGGGATACTGAAGCTGATGTCTCCCACCAGGCTGTGAGTAGCAGCATGCAGCCTCCCCGAGGTCCCAGCCAGTCCTGTTGAGTGAGAGCCTGAGATACGGGTTTCATGACATACACACCAAAGTGTGGGATGCTCCAGCTAGATGCAGACTTGAGCAGTGTGTCTCAAACGCGGCTGCACATTAAAAGCACCTGGGAAGGCCGGGTGTGGTGGCTCATGCCTGTAATCCCAGCACTTTGGGAGGCCAAGGCAGGCGGATCACTTGAGGTCAGGGGTTCAAGACCAGCCTGACCAACATGGTGAAACCCCATCTCTACTAAAAATACAAAAATTAAGCTAGGCATGGTGGCATGCACCTGTAATCCCAGGTACTTGGGAGGCTGAGGCAGGAGAGTCACTTGAACCTAGGAGTCGGAGGTTGCAGTGAGCCGAGATCACACCACTGCACTCCAGCCTGGGCAACAGAGTGAGCCTGTCTCAAAAAAAAAAAAATCACCTGGGAAGCTTCAACTTCCACTGATGCCTCAGTCCTCCCCCAGAGATTGTGGCTTAAAGGGCCTGGGGTTTGACTTGGGCATCAAGATCTTTATTTTTTTAATTTTATATTTTTGGGGTTTTTTGAGAAAGGGTCTCTGTTGCCCAGGCTGGAGTGCAGTAGCATGATTACAGCTCACTGCAGCCTCAAAATTCCAGGCTCAGGCGATCCTCCTGCCTCAGCCTCCTGAATAGCTGGGATCACAGGCGTGTGCCACCACACCCAGATAATTTTTAAATTTTTTGTAGAGATGGGGTCTTACTGTGCTGCCCAGGCTGGTCTTGAACTCCTGGGCTCAAACAATCCTCCGCTGCAGATTCCCAAAGCACTGGGATTACAGACGTGAGTCACTGCACCCAGCTGGAATCGGGATCCTTAAAAGTCCCCCTAGTGGTTCAGATGTACAGCAAAGTCTGAGAAGCTCTGGTTGCCTATAGAGCAGTGGTTTTATCATAATCTCCAAGAGAGCTAAGACAGAACTCTAAGGTCATGGAGGTGGGTAGAGCAGGGCCTTAGTCTCTGTACATTCCCAGAGGATTCTGATCCCAACCAAATTTGGGGAACCGATGGTAGAGAACAGCTTCCCCACAGTGGGCTGGGGAGTGTAGTGTGCAACCTACAGGTACAGCCTTGATCCAGCACCTCAGCCCTCTGGGTGGGGTCTTGGGTAGCCAGAGTCAGGGAAGCCAGTTGCCTCAGTGGTTCTGTTTTCCCCAGAATGTGGTGGAAAAGTAGAAGAAGCACTGTTATATTAAAATACAAAACCAACTCCGGGTGCAGTGGTTCACCCCTGTAATCCCAGCACTTTGGGAGGTGAGTGGATCACCTGAGGTCAGGAGTTCAAGATTAGCCTGGCCAACATGGTGAAACCCTGTCTCTACAAAAATAGAAAAAAAATTAGCCAGGTGTGGTGGTGGGCACCTGTAATCCCACCTACTTGGGAGGCTGAGGCAGGAGAATCACTTGAATCTGGGAGGTAGAGTTTGCAGTGAGCTGAGATCGCACCATTGCACTCCAGCCTGGGCTACAGAGTGAGACTCCATCTGAAAAAAAAAAAAATACACACACACACACACACACACACACACACACACACACACAGCAAACAAGTTAAAAAAAAAAACAAACTAAAACATAAAGCATTCCTGGATCTCTGTCAGAGCTCTTTACAAGATCATGAGTCCCATTCATAAGAGCTCCATCCTCATGACTTAACCACCTCTCAGAGGTCCCACCTCCTAACAGCATCACCTTGGGGCTTTGGATTTCAATATAGGAATTTGGGGGGGGTAGGGGGGACATAAACATTCTGACCATAGCACAGGCTGAGAAAAATGCACCAAGCACAACTTCAAACCATCTCCCCTGAAGTTGAGGCCAAAATGAATTTGGATTCCATTTTAGCCAGGGGAGCAAACAGGTCTGTCAGCTTATTCTTGTCGGGCTTTTAGCTTTGCTCCAAGTTCATTAGGATGCCTCGGAGATGGATGCCGTAGGGCAGAGCATTCGGAAAACCCTTGGGGAATGAACTCATTACCCCAGAGTCAGCCATCCTGGAGAGACTGTCCTGGAGAAGTCACAGTTACGGAGGATGGCTGCAAAGGGAAGGCGAACAGGGCTATGAGTCTTGAATGGGCTGTAAGAAACCTTTCAAAGGCCAGGCACAGTGGCTCATGGCTGTAATCCCAGCACTTTGGGAGGCCGTAGGTGGGAGGATCCCTTGAGCCTAGGAGTTCAAGACCAGCCTGGGCAACATAGTGAAACTCCGTCTCTACAAAATAAAAAAAAAAAAAGTAAAAATTAGCCAGGCATGGTAGTGGACGCCTGTAGTCCCAGCTACACAGGAGGCTCAGGTGGCAGGCTCGTTTGAGCCCAGTTCAAGCCTACAGTGAGCCGTGATTTTTCCACTGCACTCCAGCCTGGGCAACGAAGCGAGACCCTATCTCAAAAAATAAATATTAAAAAAAAAGAGCTTTCGAGTCGTCTGATCTCTTCTATGCTAAATGTCCTTTGGTTGAAATCAAATTTCTAATGCATGTAAGTATATTATACATCAACAGGCTAACCATAGTTATCTCTGGGAAAAGGCATTATCACTGGTCTTTATTTTCTTTGTTGTAATTATCTTTATCTGCACATTTTTTGATAATAGGTGTTTTTTTGTTTTGTTTTGTTTTTTGCTCTTGTTGCCCAGGCATGATCTTGGCTCACCGCAACCTCTGCCTGTCGGGTTCAAATGATTCTCCCACCTCAGCTTCCCAACTAGCTAGGATTACAGGCATGTGCCACCACGCCTGGCTAATTTTGTATTTTTTGTAGAGACAGGGTTTCTCCATATTTGTCAGGCTGGTCTCGAACTTCCCACCTCAGTTGATCTGCCCACCTCGGCCTCCCAAAATGCTGGGATTACAGGCATAAGCCCCTGCGCCCGGCCAGGTGTGTGTGTGTGTGTGTGTGTGTGTGTGTGTGTGTGTGTGTGTATTTTGTTTGTTTGTTTTTGTTTTGTTTTTGTTTTTGAGACAGAGTCTCGCTCTGTCACCCAGGCTGGAGTGCAGTGGAGCGATCTTGGCTCACCGCAAGCTCCGCCTCCCGGGTTCACACTATTCTCCTGCCTCAGCCTCCCAGGTAGCTGGGACTACAGGCGCCCACCATCACGCCTGGCTAATTTTTTGTATTTTTAGTGGAGACGGGGTTTCACCCAGTTAGCCAAGATGGTCTCGATCTCCTGACCTCGTGATCCGCCCGCCTCGGCCTCCCAAAGTGCTGGGATTACAGGCATGAGCCACCGCGCCCGGCCCCAAGTGTATATTTTTATAAGAAGAAAACACGTGACCTGTTTCCATTTGGCATAGGTTTGGCTGGAGCTGGGGCTCCTTGTGTTGGGGGGCAGAGCGACTGGGCATGAAGGTTTGCAGGGTCCAGGGGAGCAGTCTGGTGAGGCCCGGGGTGGCCTGTGGCCCTGAAGTTGTGTTTCCAGTCTGCTCTGGGTCAGATCTGAGGGTTCTCTGTCTGCCTCGAGCTCCCCATCTCCCCAAGGTCTGATATGGAGTCCCCAGGCTTTTGGGGAAGGCTGCTGAGTTTGAGGAGAGGGGAACCATGGGACAGGGTGGATGGGGACTCTGGGAGCAATGCCAGGGAGTCCCCACACCTCTAGACATGTCTCTGGTTGTGCTTTCAGGTGACCTCAAAGCAGAAGCTCTGAATTCACCTCTCATCTGACGACTGACAGCTGCTGCCACCGCCAGCCTCTGTCCCTTGCCCAGGCCTGTCACACGGCTGCCTCTCAGCAGGTAAGGAGAGTGACTTACCCTGTGTAGGGGCAGGAGGACAGCAGGTGTCTTCGCCAGGAGCATGTGTGTGGGCTGGGGTGAGACTCAGTTCTCAGGATCCTTGATGGTGGCCAGGTCCTCACAGCATCACTTTCTTCTAGCAATCATCACTGTCCTGTCCCCTTCTCCCACCCTCCACGGCAGACACGGGGCCCTTAGAAACCTTTTGCCACCTCCTGTTATCCCCTATGTGAATGGATGTGCACCTGTTGGGGGAGCAGGGGAGGAGAACTGAGCCATCCCCGAGGGCTGCTGGGCCTTGGCTGGGGAACCGTGCTGTGTGCTTCCCTGTGGGAAAAGAGATGCTATTGCAGTGAGCTTCCTTGTTCAGCAAGGATGAAAGGAGGTCCACCACTCACTTCCTCCCCACTCGCAGTTTAAGCTGCTGGGTCCCTTCAGGCTCAGGGATAGCTGTGAGAGGTGACAGCGTGCTGGCAACCCTCACAGCCCTTGCTCGCTCTCGGCGCCTCCTCTGCCTGGGCTCCCACTTTGGCAGCACTTGAGGAGCCCTTCAGCCCTCTGCTGCACTGTGGGAGCCCCTTCCTGGGCTGGCCAAGGCGGGAGCTGGCTCCCTCAGCTTGCAGGGAGGTGTGGAGGGAGAGGCACGGGCGGGAACTGGGGCTGCGCACGGTGCTTGCGGACCAGCGTGAGTTCTGGGTGGGCGTGGGTTTAGCGGCCCCGCACTGGGAGCGGCCGGCCCGCAAGCCCCGGGCAGTGAGGGGCTTAGCACCTGGGCCAGCAGCTGCTGTGCTCAACTTCTCACCAGGCCTTAGCTGCCTCCCTGCGGGGCAGGGCTCGGGACCTGCAGCCCACCATGCCTGAGCCTCCCCACCACCATGGGCTCCTGCACGGCCTGAGCCTCCTGGACAATCACCGCCCCCTGCTCCATGGCACCCAGTCCCATGGACCACCCAAGGGCTGAGGAGTGTGGGCGCATGGCATGGGACTGGCAGGCAGCTCCACCTGTGGCCCCAGATGGGATCCACTAGGTGAAGCCAGCTGGGCTCCTGAGTCTGGTGGGGACTTGGAGAAACTTTATGTCTAGCTAAGGGATTGTAAATACACCAATCGGCACTCTGTATCTAGCTCAAGGTTTGTAAGCACACCAATCAGCACCCTGTGTCTAGCTCAGGGTTTGCAGGGTTTGTGAATGCATCAATCGACACTCTGTATCTAGCTACGCTGGTGGGGACTTGGAGAACCTTTGTGTGGACACTCTGTATCTAGCTAATCTAGTGGGGACGTGGAGAACTTTTGTGTCTAGCTCAGGGATTGTAAACGCACCAATCAGCACCCTGTCAAAACGGACCAATCAGCTCTCTGTAAAACAGACCAATCAGCTCTCTGTAAAATGGACCATTCAGCAGGATGTAGGTGGGGCCAGATTAGAGAATAAAAGCAGGCTGCCCGCGCCAGCTGGGGTAATCTGCTTGGGTCCCCATGCACGCTGTGCAGGCTTTGTTCTTTTGCTCTTTGCAACAAATTCTGCTGCTGCTCACTCTGGGCCCCCACTGCCTTTATGAGCTGTAACACTCACCACGAAGGTCTGCGGCTTCACTCCTGAAGCCAGCGAGACCACAAACCCACTGGGAGGAAGGAACAACTCCAGACGCGCCGCCTTAAGAGCTGTAACACTCACCGTGAAGCTCTGCAGCTTCACTCCTGAGCCAGCGAGACCATGAACCCACCAGAAGTAAGAAACTCCAAACATATCCGAACATCAGCAGTAGCAAACTCCGGACACGCCGCCTTTAAGAATTGAGAATTGTAACACTCACGGCGCGGGTCCGCAGCTTCATTCTTGAAGTTGGTGAGACCAAGAACCCACCAATTCCGGACCCAGCTGTCTTTTGGGCATTGTCCGGAAGGCCGGCTGTAGTATTCTGCCTACAGATACTTGTCAAGTGCTCATGGACAGAAGTCGTAGTTGGGGAGGATGGCTGCAAAGGCACAATGACATTTGGCTTCCAGAAATTCTAAGTACTGTGCCGTGAGTCAGGTCAGGTCAGAAGCACTGGGGATGGAACCGCCTTGCATTGGTCTCCCAGCCCCAACTTTGTATTTACTGAGTTGTGTGCTGCAAGATGCAGCCCATCAGAATTTTACAGAGCATGGTCGGATGCAGGCACTCATGCCTGAATTCCAGCAATTTGGGAGGCCAAGACGGGTGGATGACCTGAGGTCAGGAGTTCAAGATCAGCCTGGCCAACATGGTGAAACCCCATCTCTACTAAAAATACAAAAATTAGCTGGGCATAGTGGTACGCACCTGTAATCCCAACTACTCAGGAGGCTGAGGCAGAAGAATTGCTTGAACCTGGGAGGTGGATGTTGCAGTGAGCAGAGATTGCACCACTGCACTCCAAGCCTGGGTAAAAGAGCAAGACTCCATCTCAAAAAAAAAAAAAAAAAATGTTACAGAGCAAACCGGGGTCTGCTTGCCCAGCGTGGTAAGACCAGATATCCACACCGAGGTGTTGCAGTGGAAGAAAGGAGGGTGTTTAATTGCTGGGCACCAAGCAAGGAGGACCCGGCGGCTCATGCTCAAATCCTGACCAGTAGCTTGCAGGTAAGGGTTTTTAAAGTCGGAGGTACATTTCAGGAAAGAAGTTACAGGTAAGATTGTAAAATCGACACATGGCGGTTGCACAGTGGTTTTGACCGAAAAGGGCGGCTATCTTCAAGCCAGGGGTTACAGGTCGTGGATGGATTTAAAGATCTTCTGATTTGCAATCACTTAAGGAAAAGAAGCTTTGTTTAAAATGTTGGGGTCGGCAAAAAAAATGTTAGCTCTGGCTTGTGGGCAGGACTCCCTCCAGGACCCTCAGGAAGAAATTTATTTATTTATTTAGAGATAAGAGTCTCATTCTGTCACCCAGGCTGGAGTGCAGTGGTGTGATCTTGGCTCACTGCAACCTGTGCCTCACAGGTTCAAGCAATTCTCCTGCCTCAGCTTCCTGAGTAGCTGGGATTACAGGCACGTGCCACCATGCCTGGCTAATCTTTTTTGTATTTTTAGTAAAGACGGGGTTTCACCATGTTGGCCAGGCTGGCCTCGAACTCCTGATCTCAAGTGATCCACCTGCCTCGGCCTCCCAAAGTGCTGGGATTACAAGTGTGAGTCACTGTACCCGGCCCAGGAAGAAATTTAGAACCAAAAGCAGCAGTCAGAGTTGAGTCCTCAGTTCCCCCTCATCTGAGGTCTCTGTGCCAGCTGATTCATTCCGTAGGGGGCCGGGTTTCTGAAAAACAACTCAGAGACATATGTTAAGATGTTATCTTTAGTTTCTATAGGGAAACCAAACATCTCGTAATTCTAGCTTCCTTGGCTATTGTTTTAAGCTACTATTACCTTCTTGCTTATCAAGTCACTTATTTACTTCTCAGGGCTAACTTGGTGCTAGCTTGGAATTTCCCTTGAAGGAACTCAAGATTTTCCTTTATTTCCCTGCTGGGGGTCCCACAGACCCGTACAACGGGTTCTCTGCTGCATCTCAAGAAACCCCCGGTGCGACCTATGTGCATGAGCACATTCCTGTATACCTGGGAAGAAAGAGCTGTGTGAGCACGTGGCCCCAGGTGCCACCCCTAAGCAAATGGTCCCTTTTCCCCCTTGCCTCATCTTCTGGAAAGCCGAGAGCCCAGTCAGTGTTGCCGGTAGCCAGTGTGCGTGTGGAGATTTGTTGCAGCTCCTCTCTGTTCCTACTTCCATTTTTCTTCTTGGGTCCAGGTGGGATGTGCAGACGCATGAATGTCTGTGCAGGGAGGCATACCTGAGTCCCCATGGAAGTACATATAGCATCCAGACAGTCTCAGAAAGGCAGGGGCGTTATTCAGGTGGAGCCTAAAGGGTACCTGGCCAGGTAGGGGAAGCAGGACCTCCGAAACCTTCTTATAGGGCTCTATCTTCAAAGCATGTGGTTGTCTTCAGCACCATTGGCAAAAGCCATTACCTTCTCCCCCACCAGGGATTTCCTGCTTTTTTTGCCCACCTCAGGGAAGGGGCTCCCTCCTGACACCTCACTCCCAGGTTAAGCAAGGTTAGGATCACCCAGGGGATGAGTCTGTTCCAGGAGAGCAGGACAGACCAAGTGTGGGGGATGAAATCCTAAGCGCCACTAGGCCAAGGTGGGTAATGAGCCAGGAGCAGTGGCGGAGCAGTGCTTCCTTCCACTCCTGCTGAGGAGCGCTGGGAAATTATGTTACCTAACCTCCTTGAATATATTTCCTTATCTGAAAAATAAGAGGATTGGAACCGGACCTCCATGTTCCCCTGCAATACCAACAGTCAGTGATTCAGAGCCTTGCTACTCAAAGTGTGGTCCGTGGACCAGCAGCCTCACGAAGCTCGTTAGAAGCGCAGGATCTCGGCCCCTACCCCAGAGCCACTCGATCAAAATCTGCATTTTAAAATCCTCAGGTGATTCATATGCACGTTAAAATTCAAAAAGGACTAGTTGAGACAGCCCCTAAGGTACATGAGACATCCTATGCGTCCCATGCAAGGTAATTTGGACACTAAGGAATCACGAAGTAGAAGTGGCTCACAGCCAGCAGTGGTGCTCTCCTTTGGTACGGGCCAGAATCAGCCTGGGAGATTGTAAAATACGGACGTCCAGGTGTGCAGGGCCACAGTGCTGGGAGAAGCCAGAGCAGCCCCTTGGAGAGAGAAAACACAAACACGCACACATGAAATCGCTTAAGGATCACTCTGGGCAACAAGGGTGACTGTCCTAGACACAGAATCAGGGTGAGCCGAGGGCAGCAGAGCAGAGACCGTGGAGCAGGCCTGTTTACCCAGTGCTCCCGAAAGACGGCTTTTCATCCTTACATTAGAATCTCTTCCTTTAGTTACTGAGGGGCCTCTCAGGGGAATCTGTGGTTACCTCTCCACCTTCTTTTTTTTTCCAGACAGTCTCACTCTGTCACCCAGGCTGGAGTGCAGTGGCGCAATCTCGGCTCACTGCAATCTCTGCCTTCCAGGTTCAAGCAATTCTCCTGTCTCAGCCTCCCAAGTAGCTGGGACTACAGGCACCCACCACCATGCCTGGCTAATTTTTGTATTTTTAGTAAAGAGGGGATTTCACCATATTGGTCAGGCTGGTCTCAAACTCCTAACCTCAGGTGATCCACCCACCTCGGCCTCCCAAAGTGCTGGAATTACAGGCATGAGCCACCACACCCAGCCTCTCCACCTTCTTAAGCAAGAATGCAGAAGATTGCAGGGAGGGAAGACTGTTGATGTTGTTGCTTGTTTTAAGATGGTCAGGTGCAGATTGCATAAATATATTTGCATATTCTGAGGAGGAAAAGCGCCAGAGACGTGGACATTACAGGATGGAGGGGTGAGTGTAGGGCAGATCCCTTGGGGAGGGGAGCGGTCTACTGACCTGTGAAGTGTTAGCCTTGGCTGAGAAGATGCCTTCAGCTGCAAGTGACAGATGACCCAACAAATATGGCCTGAACCATGAGGAGTACATTATCTCATTTCAAGGATCAGGAATAGACTTCCAAGGACCCACCCAGCTCAAGGATCCAGGTCATTTTCTCCACTAGACTAGTGACCGTGTCCTTGGTTGATTCCCCAGTGGTTTTATGGCTCTGGCAGCTGCAAACACAACTCAAGGTGGCCAAAGACAGAGCTTTCTCCCCTTGTCCCTCCGTCGGGGAGGAAAACCCTCCCTATGAGTCCCTGCAGATTTCCCCTGATGTCCCATTGAGGAGGACAAGGTCACGTTGTCAGGTTCACAACTATACCAAATGCCCTGCTTGGGGTCAGGTTCCAGCCCATGCTGAGGTTCGAGGGGAGTGGGCGGATGGGCAGGTAGCTGAAGGAACACTCGTGGGGCCATAAGCAGGTGAAATGTAGTTTTACTCAACAGGTCTCTCAGCAGCTGACTCATACCAGCTCTCTCACACTGTCCGCCTTGACTCAGCTGTCTGCTCTGGCTTTGTGGCTCCTCTCAGCAGCCAGCTCCCACACATAGCTGCATGGCCGACTCTCCCCTGCCTTCGGGGTCAGCAGCTTAACTCTTTCTCTCTCTGGGCACGAGCTGAACTGTGCTGTGCCCTGGCTCCCCCTGTCTACCTGCAAAATGGACAGCTTTGGCTCTTTCTCTGGGCGCCAGCATGCCTGTACAGTGTCAGCAGGGCAATAATAGCTTTTACAAACAACAGTGGCTTAGAGCCAAATGATGAGCCTTCCGATGTTATGGCTATATGGCTGTGATGACAAGTGGAGTTATACGCCTGCGCTCTAAACTTGCTGAGTCACTCTGGATGTTTACCTCAGCCTATCCTTGACCAAAGCACAGCCATGTTCCTGACACGCGTGCTCTGGCCTTACAGCAAGGGAGGCAAGAAAGTGAGTCTGCCATTGTCAGCCCCTGGGGAGGAAGGAGGGCCCTGCCGGCAGGGCAGCAAGTCGGGAGCAGCTGTGGGTGGTGTCCTACAGGCTCTGCTGTGGAGGAAGAGCTGCTGCCCTGAGTGGAGGCAAGGATGGATGTGGGTGTGGAGTGGAGTAGGTGGGGTGGGGAACATTAAGGAGGGTTCTCTGCTAATGGCCATTCTGTGTAGACAGAGGGGCTGAGGTCCTCTGCTGAGGAGGAAAGGTCAGAGGTGATGAGGAAGTGATGAAGACTGGAAGAAGAGGATGAAGGGAGGGGGAGATGATTTGGGGCAAGGAGTCCTATTGCCAGGTAGCTCTGAGGGCCTCGCAGAGGCTGGATTGTGGATGTCTGATGGGCAGAGTTTAGTGGGGGGGGTCTCTCCAGCAGCGCTGAGCAGCCCCTTCGTGAGTGTGGAGAGGGGAGGAGTTGGGTCCATACCGAAGCAGGTTTTAGGGACAGAGGAAAGGGCCAGAGAAGCAGACGGCTCTTGGGAGACAGTGGTGGTAGTTGGGTCATGCTGTTGAGGCTAAGTATGGAGCCAGGGGAGGAGGAAGCAGCAGAGAAGGGGCTGAGGGAGAAGCTGGGGTCGGAGAGCACAGCCCCCGCTGGGGGCCAGGTCCAGGGGCCTCGGCTGTGGGTGGCAGACATGGGCTGGAGAGTGGACGCACATGGAGGGCCTGAGAGGGAGGCCATGGAGGGATGGAACCCCCAGAGGGTCACCCACCCGCTTATTTTATCTCCAGCGCACAACAAGGAAAGCACAGTGCGCTGGTGGGACCTTCCCACAGGAAGCCTCCAGCCAGAACTCTCCTCTGCGGAGAGGGTAGGGCATGTGGAAAACGAGCCCTTCTTTTGAACAGCGGAAGAATGAGGAAGGGCTGAGGGATCAGGGCCGTCTGAACAGCGCCTGGGAGGGAGAGAGGTGGGCGCAGCTGCAGGGGCCTGACGGGACTGAGAGTCGGCTCTGCTGCTTTCCCCGGTAACGTTAGCTGTTCCCTCCCCGCCACATGACCCACCTGTGCACATGTGCACACATCCTCAAGGACTCACACTTATACCCACACACTCACACTCCAGACACAAACACACCCCCCACACCCTCTCACACACTCCATACACTTACACACACGTTCACCCCGCATGCTCTGAGACGTGCCTGTATTCACACTCTCACCTTCACACACACACACACCCCCACCCCACACTCTCCCACACTCACCCTCACCCCCACCCTGAACCCTGACCCACACCCACACACACCCTCACACACAGACACCCAACACTCGCACACATACCCCACAGTCACACACACACCCAACACCCTCCCACACTCACACTCCACCCCACATTCACACACCCCACCCCATGCCCTCCCACACTCACACTCACCGCCACCCCACACCCTCCCACATTCACAACCCCAACCCACACCCTGACACACACCCACAACACACCCACCTCACATTCACACACCCCCACCCCCCATCCACACTCTCACACTCACCCCCCACCCTGTACCCTCACACACGCTCACCCACCCTCACACACACACCCCCACCCCTCACCCTCATACATGCTCACACACGTGCTCACACACACACTCACACACACCCCACCCCTGACCCTCATACATGCTCTCACACTCTCACACACACACACCCCTCACCCTCACACACACCCCAACCCACACCTTCACACACACTCACATACACTGTCATCACACACACCCCACCTCACACACTCACACTCACCCACACCCTCACACATACTTTCTGTCACACACACTCACCCCCACACACTCTCACACGCTCACCCCCACCCCACACTTTCACACACTCCTACTCACCACAGACTCCCTCACACACAGTGCAGAGCCCTCCCCTCCTCCCTTTGCCCTGCTCCATGTCCTCTTGGCTTCACCCCTGCTGATCCCAAACTCTACCTCCTCCTCCCCTGAACCTCCCCCAACTCCTAAATGCCCAAGTCAAAGACAAGGGGCGAGAGGGATGGAGTCTAGAATGGGGAGAGCAGGATCAAGATTTGAAGGCAGTCACTGTAGGGTCTGTAGTAGGCTGTTTTGTGTTGCTGTAAAGGAATACTTGATACTGGGTAATTTCTAAAGGAAAGAGGTTTAATTGGCTTATGGTCCTGCAGGTGGTACAGGAAGCATGGCAGCCAGCATCTGTTCCTGGTGAGGCCTCAGGAAGCTTCCACTCATGCAGAAGGTGAAGGGGGAGCCATACTATCACACAGCAAGAGTGGGAGCAAGAGAGACAGCAGGAAGGCGACACACACTTTTAAACAACCAGGTCTTGGATGAACTCAGAGTGACTTTCACTTATCACCAAAGGGTGGCGCTGAGCCCTTCCTGACTGATCTGGCCCCGTGATCCAGTACCTCCCACCAGGACCCACCTCCCACATTGGGAATCGCATTTCGTCATGAGATTTGGAGGGAACAAACATCCAAATCACATCAGAGTCCTTTTTTCATTGCATCAGCTGGGAAGGGTTGGGAACTAGACTGTGTCTCCTCCCTCATTTTGTGTAGACACACAGCAACGCAGACACACATCAGCACACACACACACACGGAGAGATGGCCACACACAGACTGGCACAAGGCCTGCACGAGCAGGCACGTGGGCACATACAGACACACCCAAGGACACACCAACACATGTGCAGGAACGCGTGCACAGTTCTGCTGAGTGGGGGATGAAGGGGATGTTCCTTGGATTTCAAAGCTCCCAACTTGTCGTGATTCTCCTTCCCTTGTTGTTGAGTTAAAGTTCCAAACTAAGATAAGGACACACATCTATTAAACTCTGATTTGGGTGGCTGATCTGTCTTCTAACGAGAATATTTTACTTTTCAAAAACTGCCTTTGGACAAATGTAGTTGCCATTATGCCTTTCTGGGCCAGAGAATTAGTTCATATGTGATTAAAACCCACAGAGAGAGTGGGTCCCATACACTAACCTACTGGCCAAATAGAAAATTTCTTAAAAATTCTAAATGTTTTGTATGAAGCAAGTATAACATTGATATTTAAACCAGATGAAGGTAGCATTAAATGACTTAATTTATTACTTAAGAATAGTACTGAATTCCAAAATTACTTAAGAATCTTGATGCAAAAATTATCAGAATGTTACCTTATAGAATTTGGTAATATATCACAAAAGTAAATATGCATTTACCTTTGACCCAG
Source organism: Homo sapiens (assembly GCF_000001405.40). NCBI lineage: Eukaryota > Metazoa > Chordata > Mammalia > Primates > Hominidae > Homo > Homo sapiens. Next base: position 235,585,758 of record NC_000001.11, on the reverse strand, counting down.
TAATTCCAGAAATGTACCTTGAAGACACACCCCCACAATAATATGAGAATATAGATGTAAATGCCCGTAAATATATGGATTGAAAAATATACAGTATATCCACACAGTGGAGTACTGTAGTATGTAGTTCTAAGAAAGAATGAGTATGATCTTTTTTGCATATCAGTGAACTAATATGTGGTGCTTTCTAAAATGTATTGCTAAATATAAAAACAAAGTTCAAAAGCACACACACGTTATCTTTTTGTGTAAGAAAGAAGGAGAAATGAGAAAACATATATGTAACTGCTTACTTTCTAAGAAAATAAACACAGGACCAGCCTGGGAAACATAGCAAAAAAAAATTTTTTAATTAGCCAGGCATGGCGGCACACACCTGTAGTCTCAGCTACTCAGGAGGCTGAGGCAGGAGGATCGCTTGAGCCCAGGAGTTTGAGGCTGCAGTGAGCTGTGATTGCACCACTGCATTACAGCTTGGATGACAGAGACCCTATCTCAAAAAGAAGGAAGGAAGGAAGAAGGGAAGGGGAAGGAAAGGAAAGGAAAGGAAAAGGAAAAAGAAGCATAGGAAAGAATAGTCTGGAGTCCAACGTGATGGGAAGGAAGGAAGACCAGAGGGAGGGAGGAAGGGAAGGAGGGAGGGAAGGAAGGAAGGAGAAAAAAGAAGCATAGGAAAGAATAGACTGGAGTCCAGTGTGATTGGTTGCCCATAGGAGGTAGGTGGGAGGGGAGAAAAGGATTGGAATGGGCAGTGAAAGTGACACCTGTGTGAATATCAATTTGCATCATTTTAACTTTGAAAGTATGGTTGCTGCTTTACATACTCAATTAAATTAATACAATAAAGTCCAACAGTTGTGAGGTGGGAAAAAAACCTAAAACTGAAATAAAATATAAACAGAAGCAGACGAATAATAGATGGTGGCCAGGGCCTCTTCCCACCTCATCTGTACCTTTGGGAGCCAGTGTCACTTGTGTTTCTGCTCTCAGTGACCTGTCCCCAGCTCTCAGGCTTTAGTTTTAGGCTTCCTTTGAAGCAGATTCTCATTAGACGGGGCAATTGCAATTGTGATGTGTGTAGCACATGCTTTCTGTGAAACAGGTAGCACTACACTGGTCTTAGTCACGGGGCATCAATGTGTGTAGGGTTAGGGAGAATTTCTTCTGCCTCCCTCTAGAAAATAAATCTATGCTTGGGATAGGGAAGAAAGAGAGAGAGAGTGTGTGTTTGTGCGTGTGTTTATTGTTGAAAACAAACTCTCAACACAAAGTCTGTAAACTTTTTGGAAGGACAACAAATTAAAATTAATAAAGCAATTTTATTCATTAGAAATGTGTGTTATGAGCCATAGATTGTTAGGAGAGGCCATTTGAGACACTCGGCTAGGCTTCAAAGCTTTGAGTTTGAGTTCTGGATCCACAAATGTTGGCTGTAGGATCTTTGGCTATTGGTTTAATTTCTCTGATTTTTGCACTTTCTTCCTTTGCAAAATAGAAATTAATATTGTCCCACCAACTGTATGGGCTGCTAGAGCAATGAATGAGCAAACGTGTGTGAAAGTGAATGATGACTCAAAGCACTATACGAATGTCCAAGCATTACTTATGGTCGTGGTGGTGATGGTGGTGGCAGTGGTGGGGGTGATGGAAAAGTCATTCTGGAACCTTCTGTTCTCTTCTCACTGTCCCCGGGACTGAGAAAGTTTTTCCAAACAAAAGCATCATGTCTTGCTCCTCTTACTCGAATGAGGCATTCCTTTCTCTTATCCCAGGAGGGTTTTCTACCAAATGCTGTCCATGCTCCCAGATGCTCCCTGGCTTGGACAGAGAAGCTGTAGGTGGTGGGAGGTGGGGTTCCCCTACCCTTGGAAGAGCAGCTCTTCTAACCCTTTTACTTTGGTTACTTCTAGGGGCAGTAGAATGAAAGAGGGCATGTCTAATAACAGCACCACTAGCATCTCCCAAGCCAGGAAAGCTGTGGAGCAGCTAAAGATGGAAGCCTGTATGGACAGGGTCAAGGTAAGCATGCATGCGTCAGCCCCACCCTCCGCCCGAAGCTCAGCTCAAAACATTCCTCCTGCTTCCAAAGCAGACTTGTGAGAGTTAACACGTCACCCAGCAGAGCATGCAGCCAACCTTGGCAGCTGTAACATTTACAAATGAGTGTTTGCTTCACAGTTCTAAGTGTGCCCAAGGATTCAAAGGATGCAAAATACACAGTGTGCATGAATTCCATAAGGAGTCTCCAAAAATAGACTCATAATTCATCTCGGCTCTATTTAGCTCCGTTGTCATGCCAATAAGCAAGAAAGAGAGTTTAGCAATGAGATCAATCACTTTTCTGCTGTGATACAGTGCCTTTGAGGTTCAACAACATCGGATATTTTGACAGGATTATTGTTGAGGGTGGAGCTCTGAACCATGCCTGGGTGTGTCAAATATTCCTTTGGTGAAAATGAAGAAAGGTTCCAGACACCTCCCGTTGTATTCATTTCACTGATGAGTGCAGGTCTCTCCACGCTGGGAGGACTGCAGCAAGATGAAGCCACCTCTTCTCCAGATGCCACTCAGAGGTGAGCAGAAGGCCAGGCAAAGCATGTGGCTCTGAACGAGTCCGTGAGCATGACGCTCGTTGACTGTAATAGAGTTGAAAGGAACCCCAACTCTGGTGTCGGGAACCTGATGCCAGGAAGCTCCATGTGTCTGTGGTCTTGGGGAACACAAATCAGAGGTCTCACCTGGGCATCTGGGATTCAAAAAACACAGAATCCATGGCAACGGGCGACTCCTGAAGCCTTCTATGGACAGAGCCTCCCTGACCCCTCCCCTCATGCTAGTGTATGGCTAGAAAGCACCAATACTCACCTCTGTGTGGACAGTTATTCTTTTCCCCTGGAGCTCTGGGGGTACAACCTCTCCAAGGAGGCAGAAAATATGCACGGAAAGTTACATGAGGGTATATGAAGCAAGGAAGGAATCCAGCGTGATGTAAGTCAGTATCACCGGACCCATGTTACTAGAGCATCTACATCTCATACATACCGATACCAACTGCAAATTACATGTCAGTCCTTGGTCTCTAGACTAGAGGAGGGAGCAAGTTTAGAACCCAGAAAACAATTCTAAGACACAGCGGGTCCCAATAGCATAGAAAGGGGTTTCAAATGAAAGCTGCAGGCATCCCGTGCTCCAGAAGTGCAGACAGGAAAAAGGATGAGGACTGCAGTGAAAGGCATTGCTGAGCACCTAATCTATACTTGAAGGGTCCTGGGAGAGAAATGTGAAGGCGACAGTCTCCTCCGTATGGCTCAGGGAAGACTTCTCAGAGTTGTGAGCTATGGCTGGCTCTGAGCTGATAGTGGAGGAGGAAAGGCCGGTGTGAGCTAATCACGGCTCGTGTGGAGCAGCTGGGCAGCGGGAGGAGCTGCAGGTTGTGCTGGGAAGAGAGCTATGGGAGGAGGGCGCCATGCACACAGGTGCGGAAGCCACAGCCATGAGGTGACAGGTGTGTGAGGTGAACCAACCTGTAAGCAATAGACGGAGTTGTCAGAGGTGAGGAGGTAGTTGAAGCTCTGAGTAATCAAGAGAGGCAAGGAGGGGCAGAAATCGGGTACAGTGTGGAGCAGACAGCAAAGATGCGATCGGGGAGGCAAACACACCAAGAAAATCAACAGAACATGGAGAGTAAACGTGGGAGGCACTAGGGAGAGAGACGTTAGAATCCAGCTGTCAAGCCCCATGGCCAGAGACCTGAAAAGACAGTGGGCCCCAGTTTGGGCTATAAGGCAGTTCTCCTTTGCCCAGGCGTTCTCTTCTGGCAAGGAAGATAAATTCTGCAATAGCATCTTCACCTGCCACAGACACCGCCCCAGGAGCCCCTGTGAGGACCGGGTGTCTTCAAGAATGAAGGCTTCTTCAAGAGTCACTTAGGCACACACACTGTCACTAAAAGAAAGAGGAAAGTCAAAGACAAATGAGTTACTGTAGGAGTTCATTCTCACATTGCTGTAAAGAAATCCCTGGGACTGGGTCATTTATAAAGAGATTTAATTGGCCTGTGGTTCCACAGGTGGTCCAGCAAGCATGATGCCTGTATCTGCTTGGCTTCTCAGGGCGGAGGGTGCGGAGGCCTCAGGAAATTGAAAATCATGGCAGAAGGTGAAGGGTAAGCAGGCACATCTTACATAGCAGGAGAAAGAGAGAGAAGGGGGAGGCGATACACACCTTTTTTTTTTTTCTTTTTTGAGACGGAGTCTCGCTCTGTCGCCCAGGTGTGATCTCGGCTCACTGCAAGCTCCGCCTCCCGGGTTCACGCCATTCTTCTGCCTCAGCCTCCCGAGTAGCTGGGACTACAGGCGCCCACCACCACGCCCGGCTAATTTTTTGTATTTTTAGTAGAGACGGGGTTTCACCGTGTTGGTGAGGATGGTCTCAATCTCTTGACCTCGTGATCCGCCTGCCTCGGCCTCCCAAGGTGCTACACACTTTTAAACAACCAGATCTCTTGAGAACTCACTCACTATTACAACAACAGTACCAAGGGAGATGGTTTTAAACCCTTCATGAGAAACCACCCCCATGTCCAATCACTTCCCACCAGGCCCCACCTTCAACACTGGGGATTACAATTTGACGTGAGATTTGGGCAGAGACACAGATCCAAACCATATCAGTTACTCAGGTGATATTCAATCAAAGGGATAGGCAGGCCAGATGTGGTGGCTGACGCCTGTAATCCCAGCACTTTGGAAGGCCGAGGCAGGTGAATCACCTGAGGTCAGGAGTTCGAGACTAGCCTAGCCAACATGGTGAAAACCCATCTCTACTAAAAAATACAAAAATTAGCTGGGTCTGGTGACGTGTGCCTGTAATCCCAGCTACTTGGGAGGCTAAGGCAGAAGAATCACTTAAACCCAGGAGGTGGAGTTTGCAGTGAGCCAAGATTGTGCCACTGCACTTCAGCCTGGGCAACAGAGGAAGACCCCATCTCAGGAAAAAAAAAAAAAAAAAAACAAAAAACGGGATAGGCCGCCATGTTGCTGTGCTGACCATAATGGAAACGTGAAAGCAAGATTCCTCAGGGGGCCTGCCAGAGGCTAATTCAGATCCTGTGGTAATTCCAGGGAGTAGGCCAGTGACAGCTGTGTCAGATTTGGTTCAGAAACAGAGTTGGTGGAAACAGAATGTTGTCATTGAAGAGACAATGCCTGAGGAGAGAGCTGAACCTAGGAACCGCATCTGTGCCAAAGATGCGTGAGCACACATGGGTGGTTTTTGTTTTTTTCTTGCTTGGACACCCTTGAACATTAATTTTTTTAGTTGTGGTAAAATATATATAACATACAATTTATCATTTTAACCATTTTTAAATGTACAATTCATCAGTATTAGGTACATTCACAATATTGTGCAACCATCACCAGCATCCACCTCCAGAACTTTCTCATCTTCCCACACAGAAACTCTGTACCCATTCAGTGCCAACTCCCCATTCGCCCTGCCCATGCCTGGTGACCACCGTTCTACCTTTTTCCTCTGTGAATCTGACTACACTAGGTATCTCATATAAGTGGGATCATACAGTATTTATCTTTTTGTTCCTGTCTTATTTCACTTAACTTATCGTCCTTAAGATCCATCTATGTTGTAGCCTGTATCAGAACATCATTCCTTTTCAGGGCTGAGTTGTATTCCATTGCATGGATAGACCACATTTTGTTATCCATTCATCCATTGATGGACACCTGGGTTATCTCCACCTTTGGACTATTGTAAATAATGCTGTTAGGAACATGGGTGTGCAGGTATCTGTTGGAGTCTTTACTTTGGTTCCTTTGGGTACCCACAAGTGGAATTGCTGGATCATAGGGTAACTCTATGTTCAACCTTTTTACCTTTTTTTTTTTGAGAGATGGAGTCTCACTCTGTTGCCTGGGCTGGAGTGCAGTGGCATGATCTCAGCTCACTGCAACCTCTGCCTCCTGAGTTCAAGTGGTTTTCCTGCCTCAGCTTCCCAAGTAGCTGGGATCACAGGCATGAGCCACTACACCCAGCTAATTTTTGTTTTTAGTAGAGACAGGGTTTTACTATATGTTGGCCAGGCTGGTCTCGAACTCCTGACCTCAGGTAATCTGCCTGTCTCGGCCTCTCTAAGTGCTGGGATTACAGGCCTGAGCCACCATGCCCGGCCTTATGTTCAGCCTTTGGAGGAACTGTCACGCTGCTTACACAGGGGCTTCATCACGTCACGTCATCACCAGCAGTGCACAGGAATTCCCGTTTCTCCACATCCTGACCAGCACTTGTTTTCTGGGTTTTTTTTTATTAATGTATTTACTTTTTTTTTTTTATTAATGTATTTACTTTGACAAGTAAAAATTAAAGTCACTCACTATCATGACGACAGTACTGAGGGGGATGGTGTATATTTATGGTGTACAACATGAAGTTTTGACATAGGCATACATTGTGGAATGGCTAAGTCAAGCCATTTAATGTATGTATTCTCTCACATACTTAGTTTTCTGTGGTGAGAACACTTAAAACCTATTCTCTTAGCAATTTTCAAGTATACAATACATTGTTATTAATTGTAGTCACCATGATGTGCAATAAACCTCTCGAATTTATTTCTTCTAACTGAATTTTTTTTTTTTTTTTTTGAGATGGAGTCTTGCTCTGTCACCCAGGCTGGAGTGCAGTGGCATGATCTCGGCTCACTGCAACCCCTGCCTCGCGGGTTCAAGCAATTCTTCTGCCTCAGCCTCCCAAGTAGCTGGGATTACAAGTGTGCACCACCGCGTCCAGCTAATTTTTGTATTATTAGTAGAGACGGGGTTCGCCATGTTGGCCAGGCTGGTCTCAAACTCCTGGTCTCAGGTGATCCGCCTGCCTTGGCCTCCCAAAGTGCTGGGATTACAGGCCTAAGCCACCGCAGCCAGCCCTGAAACTTTGTGTCCTTTGACCAACATCTCTCTAATCTCACCACCCCACAGCCTCAGGTAGCCACCATTTTACTCTCTATTTCTATAAATTTGACTTTTTTACACTCCACATATAAGTGAGATCATGCAGTATTTGTCCAGTGCATGGCTTATTTCATTTAATATAATATCCTTCAGGGTTACCCATATTTTCTCAAGTAATAAGATTTCCTTCTTTTTTAGGGCTCAGTAGTATTCTATTGTGTAAATATACCACATTTGCTTTATCCATTCATTCGCTGATAGACACTTAGGTTGATTCCATAACTTGGCTATTTTGACTAATGCTGCAATGAACACAGAAACACAGATCTTTCTTTGACATACTGATTTCGTCTCCTCGGGTTATATACCTAGTAGTGGGATTGCTGGATCCTATGGTAGTTCTATTTTTAATTTTTGAAAAACATCCACAGTTTTCCAAAATGGCTGTACTAAATTTAATTCCCACCAATGGCATACCACGGTTCCCTTTTCTCCAAACTCAGCAACACTTGTCATCTTGTGTATTTTTGATAATTGCCATCCTAACAGGTTTGATGTGATATCTTGCTGTAGCTTTCATTTGTATTTCCCTGATGATCTAGTGATGTCTGTTTTTTTAATAATAGTCACCCTAATGAGTATGAAGCTCACACATGGTTTTCAGCCCTAGGCATCCCTGGTTTCAGGGCACAGTGTGGCTTTGCAGAAAAATCTATGTGATGCAAGACTT